>NW_025791774.1:0-205691 GCF_000001405.40 Homo sapiens
GAATTCTGGTAGTATGTTGACCCTGGCAAGAGATATTTGCCTAAAATATGCTGTTCACTTGAAATCTCCCTCTTGGTTTGGAAACCTGGTTTACTGTTTTCTAGTCAACGTGGTTGCTACCAATTATTTTTGAGTGAACCAAAATATCACGGGTTTTCTTCACTGTGGTTATTAAATCCAGTGCCAAGCATATATCAAAACATATTTCCAGAGTTATTTATCTCTTTGCTACTTTTACTTTTATACCAGAGAAAGGGAAAAAGTAGAGGCAGTAATTTCTACTTTTTTTCTCCTCCTCCTTCTCCTCCTCTTTCTCCTCCTCCTCCTTCTTCTTCTTCTTCTTCCTCTTCTTCTCCTCCTCCTTCTTGGAATGGAGTGGGCTGGCACAATGGCTCACATCTGTAATCCCAGCACTTTGGGAGGCAAAGGTGGGCAGAGGAGGGAGTTGGAGACCAGCCTGGCCAACATGGTGAAACCCCATCTCTACTAAAAATACAAAAAAATTAGCTGGGTGTGGTGGTGCCTGCCTATAGTCCAAGCTACTCTGGAGGCTGAGGCACGAGAATCTCTTGAACCCGGGAGGCGGATGTTGCAGTGAGCTGAGATCATGCCACTGCGCTCTAGCCTGGGTGACAGAGTGAGACTTGGTCTCAAAAAAAAAACAAACAAAACAAAACAAAAAACAAAGTAAGAATGGAGTGAATAGACTTTGGCCAGGAGTAAAAAAAAATAGGAATGGAGTGAATAGACTTTGGCCAGGAGTAAAAAAAATAGGAATGGAGTGAATAGACTTTGGCCAGGAGTAAAAAAAATAGGAATGGAGTGAATAGACTTTGGCCAGGAATGTAATTTTTCTGCTCCTTTGGTTGTTGTTGGAAACACGCCTATTGGAAAGTGGAACCACCAAGTGAATGTGCCTATAAAAAGGAATATAGAATTCTCTGATGTCCCAGCATGCTAAAACATCAAAGTAAATTTGGGCAAAGCTCTTCTGGTATATGAACTCTAAGGTAGAAATATGCTCTGCCTGCAAGAATAATAATAGACTCTGTCTTCGAATGGGGAATTAAAATGCTGGAAAGAAAGATAGGACTTGGAATGAAAAAAGTTGGACTTGAGTGCTGGCTTTGATGACTTATTACAGAGCTCCTTCAGGCAGTTCTCTGGTTCTCTTCTTCCTTTATAAATGTTGTGCCTTACTAAATGACCCCTAATATCATTTCCATCTCAAAAGACTCCATGACTCTAACTGAGGATTCCTCTCCAAATTCCATGAACAGAGCCTTTTTAGTGCTATATTTTATGATTCTGAATGAAGGTGTTCCTTTCCTCTGACCACTGTAGAAAAGGGGGAGAGAGTCCTGGCAAGACACTGTGGGTAGTTAACTGCTATGTCATATGACACAGAGAACAGCTGCACTACAAACATTTCCCCTTCCAAATAAATAAATAAATAAATAAAATGATATGCTGAAGTGCACAAAAAAGGAGTAGTAGAAGGGCAAGAGCTTCTGGAATGTTAGCTTTATTTAGCCCAAAATGATTGGCAGCAAGTTGTGACTTTATTACTCAATGCATCTATGTTGCCATTCCAAACAGTTGTTGCAAGTGCTCGAGAGAGAACAGTAAGCCTGTGTAGCTGTTTTTCTTCTGTCTTCTAGTTGGGTGAAGAGAAATGCACATAAAACCTGCTTTGAAAAATACTAATGATTAGAATCAGGGTCTGTTGATGGTTCTGTAGAATTTATCCACTCTTCATGTGGTCTTATTTCAAGAACAATATTTTCCCCTTACTGACATATAATGCCTACTTATTGTACAACATTTGTAAAAGCACAAATGTAAATGAAAATAAATATTGTCATAGCCTCAACACCAAGACATAACCACATTTTGGAAATATATCTTGTAAAAAGCCAAAGGGGAAAGGGTGGTAGGAAATGAATACATATGAAAATTGAGACCTGGAGAAGTAAACTTTGCTGCATCTACGGATTCTTTATACTACAGCGCACTTCCTCAGGGGCTCAGCTAAGCATTTCAGAAGAGTGCAAGTGTTGTTGACATTTAAAAGCTACAGCATGGGCTTGGGATAAGGCAATTCTGTTCTCTATTTCTTAGAGAAGAAAAGAATCCCAGTGCACACCAGGAAAATAATTTTGGAAACTCAGTTAATTGTGAAGGTGAGGCTGAGCCAGCTTGTGGTTAAAGCTACAAAGGAAATATTGTTCACTTCCCATAAATGATTTCCCGTATGTAAAGTGGGGCCGATCCTAGCAGGTGACTTCAGAGACATGGAAACATTTAACCACAGATGAATAAATCTTGCAAACACATTTTTTAAAAATGCAAAGAGTAACCTATAAAATAAAATCTGTGGCTGTCACATTTGGAGACTGAAAGTTCAAAAAGCAGGGCCTGTTTATACCAACCACAAAGGCTAGGGATCTGTGGTTTTATTGGATTTCTCATCCCAAGAAAATATTTACACTTGGAGGAGAAGATGCGTTTTTAGCTATAAAAACCATATGTAGCATATTTGTGGACGATATTGCAAATAAAAATATCTTTTTTTCCTCAGCCTGACAAAACAGACAGTTCTGTTTAAAGCATCAAAAAATTAGGTAAAATAATCACAGTTCTTTTAAATGTGTGAGGCTTTTTATTTTTGGTGGAGATGTATATGGGTGGTTGCCATGAAGGAGAAAGATCTTTGGTGAGTGTCCTGCTTTCTGCTGCCACAAAATTCCAGTCACTAGAGTTTTTGGAAGTCTAGATCTGTGTGCATGAGAAGAGAAAAGAATACCATGAGAGAGAGCTAGAAAGAAAAAATAGTATGGACATAGCTCAATTGACCAAAGGCGAAATGAAATAAATAAACATTGTGGGGGGAAAAAAAGACAATTTGGAGAAGTTTAATAATGCATTTATTTATTTAAAAAATATATATATTTTTTCTTTTTTTTGAGATGGAGTCTCACACTGTCACCCAGGCTGGAGTGCACTGGTGTGATTTTGGCTCATTGCAACCTCTGCCTCCTGGGTTCAGATTTGAGACTCTGTCTCAAAAAAATAAAATAAAAACCATAAATAAATAAATAAATAAAAGATAAAACAATGATTCTCCTGTCTCAGTCTTCCACGTAGTTGGGATTACAGTTGCATGTCACCATGCTCAGCTAATTTTTGTATTTTTAGTAGAGTCGGGTTTTCGCCATGTTGGCCAGGCTGGTCTTGGTCTCCTGACCTCAAGGGATCCACCAGCCTCAGCCTCCCAAAGTGCTGGGATTACAGGCATGAGCCACCGTGCTTGGCCAACAATGTTTGTCATTTAATGATTGACAATCAAATTATTTTAAAAAAATTGATTTAAGGGTCAGTTGGTTTGAGGGGGAAAAAAACCCTTCAAACTAAATATTAGCTTTATGCATTAGCATTTATGCCATAAAACAGTTTTCATTTTTAATTGAAACTTGGACGTTTCTGAGCAGCAGAGGCAGAAATAAAAAAAAGTTGGCTGGGCACGGTGGCTCATGCCTGTAATCTCAGCACTTTGGGAGGCTGAGGCGGGTGGATCACAAGGTCAGGAGTTCGAGACCAGCCTGACTAACATGGTGAAACCCCGTCTCTACTAAAAATACAAAAATTGGCCGGACTTGGTGACACGCACCTGTAATCCCAGCTACTCAGGAGGCTGAGGCAGGAGAATCGCTTGAACCCAGGAGGCAGAGGTTGCAGTGATCCAAGATCGTGCACTGCACTCCAGCCTGGGTGCCAGAATGAGACTCTGTCTCAAAAAAAAAATAAATAAATAAAAAATAAAACAAAAGCTGTCTTCAAGCTGGGGAGAGTGATCCAGAAATAAGTGTGACAACGCAGACTGGTCTTTTGTCTTTCCAAAAATAATATCTGAATGCTTTAGAATAGAAGGGGTCAGACCTCCTGAATATCCCCTATCTCCTCCCTCATTTTTATAGCTCAGATTGCCTCACTGAAGGATATTAGGAAAACTCCATGACAAAACCATATAAAGAATTTCTCAAACTGTATTGTAGGGCTGAAATTTAATTGCAGCAAGGGTAGTGCAGGGAGATGAAAGTTTACCTCTACTCTCTTCAGGTTCCAGCTGGGCCTGAGAATTAAATTGACATAAGATAGATACACAGGAGGAAAACATGCAGAGTTTTACATGTCCATGGGAGCCCCTGTTAGGAAACAAAGACCCAGAGATGTGGCAAAACCTGAGTGCTGATATACTAGGTTGAACAAAGAATGGCAATTGTAAAAGTAGCTAAAATGTACAGGGAGGCTGAAGGAAGGTACAAGTTATAGCAAGATCTGTTTGTACAGATTTTTCTCAGCCTTGACTGCCCGTCTCTTGTGACAAAAATGTTTCTTCTCTCCTGGTGGAAGGTAGGCATCTTTCTACATGGGCGTTCTCTCCTGTCTCCAGTGACAAGAATATTTCCTTTTTCTTGGTACAGAGAGGGCCGATTGTCCTTTTGTTTCTGCTATTTTTTAAGTGCCTTTAGATCAAAATAATCCTTATGCCAAAGTGGCATACTATGGGGTGGCACATTCTGTCACCCATCAGTGCAAATATTGTTTGGAATATGAAAATGAGTGATGACAACAAATGCTTTTTGTTTGCTTGTTTGTTTTAGGTTATGATGGAATTTCAGGACAATACTATTTCAAAATATGACCCCTTGACATTTGAGAAAGCAGGAGACACAGGAAAGTCACTCTCACCTTCCCCTCAGCCTTCTCCCCTGAAGCAGGTCATAAAATCTGGGAAGGCCGCTCTCTGACCTTTTCCTGAAGTAGGTCATAAGGCCCTCATGTGAGGGGCACCCCTCTAATATCAAGAGAAAAAAAATCCTTGTCTCAGAAGACTCAGGAACACAGCGAAAAATATGAACAAACAGAACTTGCTAATCTTCCCCTAGTTTATTACCATCCTATCATACCCTGTTGTCAGCTGGCTTATTTTAACTGTTGTATTCCTAGGAAAAGAATCCCTGTCTAACCCAGGTTATACTCTCTTCAGAATCATCTGAAAGCCGAGCTACTACTTTGAGTAAATAGCAAGGCCCTACCCATGACTATTTTTGACAAGGTACCAACTGTGGGCCTGGCATTATTCTCAGGGATTCACATGTATCATCTAATTTAATCCCAGCAACCATCCTGTGAATTAGGAGTGATGACCGTTGTTTTACAGACATAAACACTTCGGTTTAGGGTGGTCAAGGAATGCACCCAAGCTTAAATCGTATCTAGAAAACAACCAAACTGTGCCTCATGTCTGGCTTGTCAGTTGATACCCAAGCCTATGCCCCTACCCCTCATTATTCTAGAAAAGAAATGTCACCCGTAATTTGAAAATACTAACTCAATATTCAAATCACTTCCCCAATGAAAAAATGATCAATCCTTCTTTCATGGTTTGAAACTTCTGCAGTTTCTACCCACTTTTGCACAATCTTCAGGTCCTTCGAAAAGTTGTTCTTGGTGTTACCTTTTGAGTTTGTAATTGAAGTTGGCAATAGGGTAAATCTGCCATCATCAAGCTACTCTGCCATTATAAGAAACTAGAATTTTGTTTTTATCCCAGTTGTAATGTCTTTGTGTTTTCTCTTTTTGTTGGTGTGTGCAATGTCTGTCTTTGCAGTGAACCACTAATCACATGAGAGGTGTGCCATAAAACAAAGCTTTCAAGGTAATCTGCATTTGTCACAAGCTCCCTCCCACTGACTTTGACTGCCACTGCATATTTTATGACCTCACCTTGATTTCAGGAATAATACAAATATATGGCTTATGTTGTGTGAATTTTGATTATTGTATGTGAGCATTACAATGCAAAAAATCATTAGTCAGAATGCAAACACATACAACACACATGAGATGAGAATATAATAATCTTTTATAATCACTAAAATAAACAGATTATATGGTAGCTCCAAATGTTATGGAAATGAAATGTTAAGTTCAGGGCTGTTATTGTGCCATGTACCATTGGGCAATTCAGAGGACCCCCAAAAAAGGGAATGTGAGTACAGTACAATGTTGCCTTACAGAAGATGGAGAGGAGAGACTTTCTGTTGGGTGCAGAGCCAGGGAGATGCCCCTCACCATCAGAACACCACACTGGGTGGATGGAACTTTACATCAGCTACGCTAAGATCAGGAACCTTCCATTTTTCTGATGAAGTCCTCTGAGGAGAATCCTTGTCTGCTCCCTGAGCCTAAATCCCGATTTCACTTCAGTCAGTGCTCTCAGAGGTTTCCTTTCCCCATTAATGACCTCCTGGACACAACAGAGCAGGGCAACATCCCATAGTTTTCGGTAGATTCTTCCCTCTGCCTCTCCATTTCGTTTCTCTACTCTGGATCTATAAGGTATTGGGAGGAGGCATTACCTCTAGGAAAACTAGAGGTAACTGTCTACTTACTCTTAGATTCTTCCCCAAGTAACAAGGAATAAAAATGGGATGCTATTAAAACAAAGCTGGGGAACTTCAATTAGTAGACTATAAGAGGACTTAAATGTGGACCATATGTTCAGGGACTAACTGGGTTGGCTTGGCTCACCATTGTCTTTCTAGAGTTTAGTATGGTTCCTGGCTCATAGTAAATGCTCCATGTATTTTTGGTGAATGAATTGATGAGAAAAGACCCAATGAGCCTTTAATTCTTAGCTTGCCTGATTAAGGCAATCCCTACTCTCAGAGAAGTTATGAATTAATGAGGAAGACAGGCAACTAAGCAAGTTTTAAAACAAAATGTTATATATGAGTGTTATGCAAAAAGGCATAAAAGAGACAATGGAAACACAGTGCTGGGGGACCTGGCTTGTCCTGGGGAGTCTGTTCTTAAAAAGTAACCTTGAACTGGTCAATAGGAGATAAGGATTAGCCAAGATAAAGGAGAGAAGAGTTCCAGACCAGGAAACATCATTTGTGAAGAATCAGCCCCAAGAAAGAGCATGGATCATAGTAGATTTGAAAAGCTGAAAAAAGTTAAATACGCTTATGAGAGGAACACTGGTGTGCGTGTAAATAGAAGGAGACAGGAAACTGATAATGCGGACCTTGCTAATATCAGGAAGTTTGAACTTCAGGGACAGAGGCAATCACTGAACAATTTGTGTTTTGGAAAGGACTCAGGCTGCAGTAGAGTATGTTGGATGTGAACAAAACTGGAAGTTGGGAGCCTATTTAAACCTTTCTAGCCCTGAAGGGATTTCTTTTGACTTTGATTAGAGAAGAGGCCACAGAAATGAAGGTAAATTGACATACACAAGACATGTCAAGGAATCAGAGTCCACAGTGTTTGTAAGGGGGCTGCAGGTGGCAGGAAGCAGGAGGAGGATAAATGAAGGGTTTAGATGGCATCCAGGCTCTGCAGCAGTCTTTAATTATGGACCCAAGAGAGGAAAGTCTGGGCAGGTTCTCCCAGTTCTAAAGCTGTGCTGGCTTTCCAGTCTAGTTGATCTAAAATAATTTTACTATCACCAAAATTGTTCTGTTTCACTCTGTTTTTATACTTTATTTGGCTCGATTTCATTCTTTTATGCTTCCTTTCCAGATCATGGGCTTCCAATGCATTGCTTGATTTTCTGTGGGAGGAAAGTGCTTTTGAAGTTCCAAATCCAATCCCTGAAGCAAGATTAATAATCAAAGATCCTCTCCAGTGTGCAAATCCTCATGGGATTTAGGTGGATTGCTACAGCCTAGTCCCGAGGCATGTGGCACACCTGTACGTTGCCACAAATAGTTCAGAAATAACACCAGTTCATGTCTACAACAAGGCCTTTGAACTTGAGTATTCTCTTTCTGGTATTCAATGCTGGAGCTGCAGTGAGAGCGTGCAGTTCCCTAAATTTTGCCCCCGAGGAACCTTACTTGTCTCACCATAATCTCAGTTCATTTGAACACTTCTCCAGATACTCTGTAGGAATACAACGGAGTTAGCTTGTTTCAAGGGAGAGTTTTTTTATTGGGAAGATGACCTAACTGGCTAAGTCCAAGTTTGTGGAAACAACATATCTGAGGAATCCGAATCAGATCAATGAAATAGAGTTTCTAGCAGCTGCACTGTGAATAACGTCCTGAAAGATGCTGCTGCTGGAACTCGATTCCACAGCTATGGGTGTTTGTTGGAAGGCACCCAAAAGGGATTCCAAGGGCCCTGCCTCTACTGACTGCCGTTTATTCTTAAAGCACTAGGCTCAACAGTTGAGCTTTGTGTGGTATTGAGTGGGTTTTATGATTACTTGTTTGCCATTGTTAGTGTCAGCCTGTCAACACCTTGAAGGGCAGAGCATTTTTGTTTGTTTTGAAAATTACTCAATAGCAAATCCTTAATTATACAGCAGTATGGCTTTTTGAAAGGTTGAGTGATGTACTGCTGTTGTTTTAGATTTCTTTCATGCTAAATCTTATGAGGTGCATAGCCTTCAATAACTAAATGCAAATAATGCAATCGAATCCCACTTGAGCCTGCCATTAATTATCTCACATTTATCTTCATTTCCAGGCTGGTGATATGGGCCAGCATTCAAGACAACTAGAAAAAATATCCAGTAAAGGTTTTGAAGTTCCTTTATGTGCAGGGATTTATGATACACAGACACGTGTGAACCATACACACATACATGCATGTATACACACATACATGCATGTATGCACACATCTGCTTTCACATCTACACACATCTACATCTGCATAATACCACATGCATGGCTAGATGTAACACATGCACATATCAATGTGTCACACATATTTACACATATATGCACACTCACATGTTTACTGTATTTGAAATTTTTGGTTGCAAGTAACAGGAAACAAACTCAAAGACACCTAAACCATAAAAGGAATCCATAATTTCACAAAGGTTATTTCATTCCCTCTTTCCTCTATATGCCAAGGTTGATCCTCTATGTTTGTGAAATGGCTGCTAAAAACTTCCGTATTGAGGTGTAGCAGGAAGAGTATGTCTTTCTGGATAGCTTCTTTGGAAAAGTGAGGAAGCTTTTTTCTTAGAAATCTTAACAGACCTTCTCTCATTTTTTATTGTTGGAATTGGGTTTCAAGCCCATCACTAATTTAATCCCTGTAACCAATGAGATGAAATATGAATATGGCCTTAAATGAATCCCTGGAGCTGACAAGTTATTACGTGGGGCCCAGGGTCAGATTTTCCAGAAACATTTAGGCTGCATAGGGTAAAAGGCAGATACCCAATGGAAAATCAAATTCTGTTACCAAAAGGTAGGTCGTCCAAGTCCTGGGTGGCTCATGTTAGTAAATGTTCCTACCCCTGGCTCCTGCACACGTACACACACACAACACGGCTGTCAGAATTTCCACAACCAAAGACGCCCTTTATTACTGAATTACTTTCTACACCTCATGTTTTGACAGATTCTGTCTACTAAGAAACTGAGAGCAATATGGTAACTAATTCATTTTTGCATTTTCATGCCTGAGAAGCTGGTATTACCACAATGAGTTTATGTAATTCCAGTCAATATTAAAGCAATACAATTGATGTTTAGGTAGCCTGGGAGACCTTATAGGAAGTAAATGTACAGTAGTAATTAGAATTATTGAAATCTTAAAAATAGCAGATTACTTGCAGGAGTCGGCGGCCTTTTTGAGAAGCAATTTTGTAAAATTTGCCTTCTGAGGTCAAAATTTGGCTAGACCTTTCTTGGTAAATGCAGGAAATCATGATGAATAATCCATTGCACCAACCACTGCAAGTAGATGTACCCTTTGCACCTGCCCCTTCTTCACGTTCCCTTCCACTTCCTTTCTTCTCCAATGACATAGTATCACTGAAGAGGCTCTCCTCTGGAAGAAAACACTTTGAAGTCATTTAACTATGTTAAAAAAAAAAAAAAAAAGCTCAAGGAAGCAGTTTGTTTTCAGAGAGTGTATTTATCAGCAACTCTCCACTCTCAGTAGTTTAGAAAAATAAAAGTTTATTTCTTATTTACACTGTAGTTTAAAGTGGATTGTTCACAGGCTGTTATGTGGCTCTGCTCCATGCTGTGATACAGAGAACCAGGCTCCTTCCGTCTGAGAATTCCTAGGGTCTTAGAGTCTTCCAGTGGAGCCTGTATATCCAGCCAGTGGATGAAAGAAGAATGATGATACATGGCTGAAACATGAATGATTATGCAGGCAGATTGTAGTGTCCCAGCCTGGCAGTGGTACACATTACTTCTGCCTACATTCCACTGGCCAGGACACATAGTAATGTGGTCACAACCATTTGCAAAGTTGCTGAAAAATGTAGTCAAAAAGTGTGGCAAGATGGAAGGGGAAACAAGGGCGGCTAGAACACACAGGCATCTTTGCTACAGATAGACTAACGTTCATTTAGAATCTTTTTCTCCTACACAGGTATGCAGGAGCATTTTGAATGCCAGAGTTTTTGAATCTCAGCAATTCAAGTTGGGAGGGTCAAGATCATGACTAATAGGGCTGAATTCTTACTAAAGAACAGCTTGTTTTACAGTTAACAAATAAAGTTTTGTGCAAGATTTTTTTTTTCCTTTTTACCTAGAGGTCCCTGAATTTACAGTTTCTTCATGATATGGTTTGGCTCTGTGTTCCTACCCAAATCTCATGTTGAATTATGATCTTCAGTGTTGGAGGAGGGGCCTGGTGGAAGTTGATTAAATCATGGGGGTGGATTTCTGCCTTGCTGTTCTCATGATAGTGAGTGAGTTCTCATGAGATCTGGTTGTTTAAAAGTGTGTAGTCTCACGCCTGTAATCCCAGCATTTTGAGAGGCTGAGGCGGGCGGATCATGAGTTCAAGAGTTCCAGACCAGCCCGACCAACATGGTGAAACCCCGTCTCTACTAAAAATACAAAAATTAGTTGGGTGTGGTGATGCATGCCTGTAATCCCAGCTACTCAGACGGTTGAGGCAGGAGAATCACTTGAACCTGGGAGGCGGAGGTTGCAGTGAGCCGGCATTGCGCCACTGCACTCCAGCCTGGGTGACAGAGCGAGACTCCGTCTCAAGGAAAAAAAAAAGTGTGTAGTCCCCCTTCACTTGCACTCTCCTCCTGTCACATGAAGACATGCTTACTTCCCCTTCATCCTTCTGCCATGACTGAGGCCTCCCAGCCCTGCTTCCTGTATAGCCTGTGGAACTGTGAGTCAATCTAACGCCTTTCCTTCATAAATTACCTAGTCTCAGGTAGTTCTTTACAGCAGTGTGAGGACTGATTAATATACTTAGCAGTCCCAGGACTTCTAGAAAGAGCACACCTGTAGACAAAACTATAATGCAAGTAACTTATGTTTGCTTGGGGAGTAGACAGAGGTTGGTGACACTCGTGAATAAAAAGGTTTGTTGTGCTGTTCTGAGGCAGTACCTTCAGAAGGTGGCAGGACGTCAGAGGAACTACTGTGGCTGTGATGAGCGGCAGTTGAACATAGAACCTCAGAGCTTCACCCCTGGAGAAGGCTTGAGTCCCTAGAATCAGTGGACTTGAAGAGACCATAGTAGACCTGGAGAGTGGGCATCTTGGCATTAACTGGTACAGACCAACACTGGGAGGTAGGGGAATAGAAACACAGGTATTACAAAGAATTTTGGTTTTCATAAGACCCAAATTTTCTTGTATGGCCCTAAAATGAAGCAGAGGGGGCCCAAATACAGTAATGACAAATTAAATTACCAGCCAATCTTCCTGGATGGGACCATGAAGTCAGACTACTTTTTGTATACAGAAAAATCTAAAATACAATAATTCTTTCTTACCTGAGATGATGGCTGCAAATTCATGCCTTAGAGCCATTTGGGCCCTAGTGCAGGGCAGATGAGTGAAATGAGTTCTCAGAAACGTGAGAAAGATACAGAGGGGTGCTGGGTTGCAATGGAAGGTCTTAGGGGAGGGGTGGAAAGTGAGTTCAAGGAGGGCTACAGTTACGAAAATGTGTTCTGTGGACTCCTAGAGGTCCTCAAGACCCACTTGGGTGTACACCAGGTCAAAACTTTTTATAATGATGCTACGATATGATTTGCCTTTTCCACTCTTGTCTGTATTCTTCTGTGAGTGTACAGTGGAGTTTTCTAGAGACAACAAATTGAATAAGACGCAGATAGGAACATTAGCTGTCTTCTATTAAACCAGGCATGCAAAGAGATTTGTAAAAATCTTAAACAGTGACACTCTTCTCACTAAATATTTTTGTTTGTTTGTTTGGGGTTATATGGTTATTTTTCATAAAATAAGTAACTTCTGTTAACATGCTCTTCATTGCTGTTTGAAGTCAACGATAAATGTTTTTTTAAAATCTCAGTTTTAATTTCTAATACAGCAAATATATTTAATATAAAATATAACCCACATGAAAGAAAAAAAGTTCTTTAGGAACCACAATTATTTTTAAGAGTGTAAAGAGATCCTGACACCAAAAAGCTTGAGAATGTTGGATTAGAACAACAACCCAATCAATGTTGAGAGAAATTAATTCTGCCACTTGTGGACTAATAACTTCAGAGTATGTGAAGCACTGAGAAGATAGATTGTTTCTTCTGGAGAAGTATCTTTAGAAGAGCAGTAGTAATTAGCCAGGGGCGACTGGTGTAGACAGCCATTAGTGAAATAACTGAATTTTAATACCACTTTATACTGCAACTTGCAAACCTAAAAAAATTGCAATACTGCCATCTAGCGTTCTATCGTGAAAACATTTCGATATTTATTTTTTCTCTCAATTTACAATTGCTTCAGAACTGAATGACAACATAAGCCAAATTTAATAGTTTGCCATGCATTTGTTAGGTTATTTCACCAAACATGTACCTTTAAATATCTTCAGTGTCTTTTCCAATTTCTTTCTGTATATAATCTCTTCTTAGAGTTAGGATAACTGGAGAAGGTAGGATTTCAACCTACTTATACCTTGTTTCAAACTTTATGTTCCTGTCATTACACAATGTAGAATGATTTAATGGCAATGTAGAGAAACCGAGTAAGTAACTTTCCTCACTTCGGTTATACATACCTCCTCTCTTTCCATAGTCTTTTTTTTTTTTTTTTTTTTTTTTTGAGATGGAGTCTCATTCTGTTGCCCAGGGTGGAATGCAATGGTGCAATCTCAGCTCACTGAAACCTCTGCCTCCTGGGTTCAAGCGATTCTCCTGCCTCAGCCTCCCGAGTAGCTGGGATTACAGGCGCCTGCCACCATGCCCGGCTAATTTTTGTATTTTTAGTAGATACAGGGTTTCACCACATTGGCCAGGCTGGTCTCGAACGCCTGGCCTCAAGTGATCCGCCCGCCTTGGCCTCCCAATCCATAGTCATTTTTTTTTAAATAAACTTTTTATTTTGGATCAATTTTAGATTTACACAGAAGCTTCAAAGATAGTACAGGGAGTTCCCATGGCCCCTCATCCAGTTTCCCCTACTGTTAACATGTACATTTCTGTGGAAACCCATACCCACTGGGTTCCTGGCACAATGGACAGAAGTTCCACACCAATGAACATGACTGAAATTTCAGAAACAGAAACTTGGGGGTCAGAGAGGGTGGGCTGGGGAAATAAAAAAGTTTACATATAAAAGAACAGGACTTGTATTCTCATCAAACTTGTCAGTAGCCACACCAGAAGCTAGAAAATCAGGAACCAATGCCTTCAAAATTCTGAGTGAAAATTATTTTCATCATAAAATCCTGTACAAAACTGCATATTAAGAGCAATGTTAGACTAAAGACAATTCCAGAGCAACTACAGAGTTTTGAAATATTTATGTCCCATGCCCCCTTTATCAGACAGTTATTTGAGGATGTGCTTCTCTAAAGCGGGAAAAGAAACAGAAAGACCAGGGGAGAGGTGAAGGAGCCTCTCTGAATGATGTGAAGGAGATCGTGGGTCAAAGCTCTGTGGTGTCCTAAAAAATAAACAGTGCAGAATGGAGCAGGAAGACAGAGTTGTTTGAACAACTCAGAGATGTATTCTTCTGTCAGAGTGTTTGGGGATGAATTAGTAATAGGTGTAAAGAAGATGAAATAAACATAAAGATCAGGCAGTGGATTAACCCTAGAGAAAATTAAAAGTTGCATGGAAGCATGGTATGTATACTATATGGCTCAGCTTTGAGCCATACAGACTCATAGAAATATAAATATTGAATTCATTTAAATGAAAAGGTAATTTTATCATGTTGGCCAGATGGGAGAAGGTGGAAGAGAAGGAGGGAGGAGGAACAGAGAGAGAGAGTGCTAGATCCTCTGCCCTATACCCAGAAGTCAATAATTATCTAAAATTGAAAAAAATAAGCAGCAACACCCTATTATTTACACAATATGGGATTAAATATCAGAAGAAATGGTTAAAAGTGGTTACCTCTACAGAGTACGGATCAGGAATTGGGATGAATGAACTAAGGGAAAATTCTAGTAGGATGATAATGACTTTTTAAAACAATGTTCATGTTACTTTAAAAGGCAAAACATCAGGTAAATGGGTGCCCTGCCAAATCAGGGACTTAGCACCCAGGGTTATCAACTCTGTTAAGAATCAGGGAGTGCTGGGGGAAGAAAGTATAAATGATGGCCTTGTACAAAGTATCTTGGATTCTTATCAAGGCTGTGGCAGTCAAGTGTCCTTTGCCCCTGCTTCCTTGTTGTTTGCATAAATATTTGTATTCTGAGGCTTCATTCTAGGGTGAGAGCTCATTTTCTGTTTGCACAATTGCCTGGCTCCTCTGGCCAAAGGGTGCTCTGCTTCTGGCAGCTGAAGATCCCAGTAGACAGCTTCTTAAACCATGGCTTTCCCTGCAGGATTTGGATGGGCGGCAGCCACTGCAGCTTATCAAGTAGAAGGTAGGGGACACTCTCTCCCCTTCACTGGGGTGGGAGTGCTTTATTTCTGGTGTGTCCTGTGTACCTGAGGAAGATGGTGGGGTAAGGAGGCAAAAAGAAAAGCAAAGAATTGAACAGACCACAATGTTATCAATGAATTTGTTTCCCTTTTCAAACATGTCAGGGGTGGGGGCTCACATTCTCTTGTCTCTTTAGGCACAAGGAAGGGTGGAGGGATGAAGAGGTGAAAACCAAGCTGTGGCTGGATTTTCAGTCAGTCCAAACTCAGCTGAGACATCAGTTTACATTGGACCAGCTGCTTTTATAATTGATTTTTAGAATCCATTTGCCCCAACTCCTCTACAAAGGAGAATCATTTTTTTCTATTGGCTGGAAGAATATTGGGTCGATTTTTTCAAAGAGCCCTTCATTAATTGGGAAAAGTTCCCTGTTCTATTCTTAGTGAGCGCCAAGCCAAGCCTAATCTTGTATGCCACCATATTTCCTGGGGCAGCTGAGAAGTAAATAGAAGCAAATGGTAAAGAGCACCCAGAGTGCCTGTGGAGCCCAAGTTCTGATCCTCATCCTACCACACACAAGTGTGTGAATTCTTTGTCCTCCTTGAGTCTCAGTTTCTTCATCTGTGAAATAGGAAGATGAGCTTTACTTTTCTAAAACACGTATGTCCCCCCTTCCCCTCCACAAAGGGAGTTAGAGATTGTTAATAGCTACCATGGAGAAAATATTTATTTGGTCAAATAAGTATATGAAACCCTGGATTAAACAAAGCAAAGTGAGTTATTGTGGTAGCTTCCTAGGATTGCCATAATAAAATATCATAAACTGTGGGGCTTAAACAACATAAATTTATCCTCTTACGGTTCTAGAAGCCAGAATTGGCCACTGGAGGATGTAATTAGCCAAGTTAAGATGAGATCATACTGGAGTAGGGCAGATATGCAATCCAATATGACCGGTGTCCTAAAAAGAAGGAAATTTGGACACTGAGAAATTTGGAAATTTGAAAGAAGAAAAATTGGACAAAGAGACAAGGAGAACACCGTGTGTGAGAGAGAGATTGGAATGTTACAGTAAGCTAAGGAGCAATAGTCGCCACTAAAAATTAGAAAGAGGCAAGAGGGATTTTACCTAGAGACTTGGGGGTCCATGAGCCTGCTGACACCTTGATTTTGGAACTCCAGCCTCTAGAACTGTGAGAGAATACATTTCTGTTGTTCAAGGCTTTCATTTTGTGGCACTTTGTTACAGCACCCCTAGAAAACTTATACACCGAGAAAAACAAGTCAATCAATCAATGAAATAATGACTGCTATGGTAAGTGCTATGGTGATAATAGGATGTTGTGGGAAAGGGTCACGTGAAAACCAGTTCTTCAGGATGGGTCATCAAGGAGGATCTTTGTGAACTAGCATCATTCCGTCTAAACTTAAGGTATGAGGAGGAGACTGCCATTTGAATATGGGGAGATCTTTCTAGACAAAGAAACAGGACAAGTTGATCCTGGTACAACCCATGCTGCCTGTGATTCCTAGCTTCAATTGCTATTTCCCCATCCTCTAGAATGGGAAGGAGGAATCTTTACTACACAGTTGTGATAACTGCCATGTAGAAGACATCTCCCACTGGGGGATTATGTATATTATTGCACATATATGATCTGTGATACAAGGCTCTTTTAAAGGAACGTCTGACAGTGTCCTGGTTGGCTGAGATTCCATGCCACCTTTTTCGCTACATGGGATCTTCTTTCATCTTCTTCCAGATAATTTCCACTTTGTTGTAGAGGGTGACTGAATAGGCTGACCCTCTGGGAATAAAAACAAAAGCAATGATCTTTGTTAGTTTCCGTCTCAAAAGAGAGGTCGGAAAAATCCGAGAAAGCATGGTAGAGCACCAGAATGGTGTAAATAGAATCAGATTCTAGAAGCAACATAGCATTGGTGATTATTAAGATGAGCTTTGGGGGAAGACTCTTTAGACTTGGATTCCATCTCTCCTTTTACTAGATTTGTGACTTTGTCCAAATGACTCATCTTCTCTGTGCCTCCTCACCTGTAAGATGGAGATTATTATGGTGTCTCCTGTGTAGCACAGCTATGAGGTTTAAATAAGATAATGTGTGTTAAGTACTTGGCATTTAGTGAGTGCTCGATGCATCATATTCATATCTGGGAGGATCACAAAAGGATTACAAAGAATGATTCACTATGGAACTCTACAGTTAACTTGGCATAAATATGCAGTTATACAAGACAATAGAGTGGGTTTCAACTACTAACTTTGAGTTCCTGCCCACTTAGGACCTGGAGGTAACATTAACTGGCCCATTCTGAGCTCCTCTCTTCACATGATCTCAATACTGTTGCATCTCTTCTGTCTGCTTGGAGCCAGTTTGTCCTATGCTCTTCGGACTTAGGCTTGCTTCTGCCATATTTTGAGGTCTTTATTTGTGGCCTCTAACCTGCTGTTAACTATCTATAGTTTACTAGGTAGGGTACTTGATCCATCATGCTCTGCCAAGAGCCATCAGCCTGCTATCTTTGTCAACTCACAGCATAACTTTTGCATGCTTGCTTGCTTTCCACCCTAGGAGCTCTTCCTGATCCTTTTGTGCTGTGTGTGAATTTTAGCTCAAGCACTTACTAGCAGAGTGACTTTGGGCAAATAATATATTTAAGCCTCAGTTTTCTTATTTGTGAAATTTGAAACATAGTCATACTCTCTCTGTAGATTGGTTCTAGGGACTGAAGAGGTAAGCATATGTAACTGTGGTATAAGAGTGCCCCCATGTAGTGCTCACCAAATACTAATATTAATGCCAATACTATTATTATTTTTCTTTCTCCTGGCTGTATTCTCTTGCACTCTGAGAGAAGGAGAGTTACACTGTCTACTCCATTTAGTGGGAATGGTCATTTCTTGTTTGGACTGCTAGTTAGAATCTATTCCCTCCTTGCTCATGCTTGACTACTTCACCAGCAGTTGCCAGGAGAGTTACTGTTTAACCATTTCTCCCACCATCGACTGGATTACAGTGCAGGAAGTTCACTCGTGGCTTTATCAAATCAGCATGGCTTGGATTTAAAGCCGAGAACAGCCTGTCTCTTTTTGATTTTGATAATCTTTGCAGTTTTGTGCTGCCCTGGCCTTGGAAGGTCTGTAGATGCATTGGAAGTCAGGAGACACTCAGCAGAGCTGAGGACTGAGCCTGAATTGTATTTGTAAAAAAATCTAACACTTTTAAAGATTTGTTATAAAACATTACCACGTATCTCTTTCTACTGTCTCTCTTTCCACTGTATTTCAAAATACAGTTGTCTGTATTGGTATATTTGTTTTCAGATACTCTCTTGAAATCCCTGAAGAATAACTAGCATACTCTCCCTCACCCTCACTGCGAAAATGGAGATATTTTGTCTCCATATAGAAAATACTGTCAGGGTCTTTGCAGGTGGGCCCCACTGAGAGGGGCAGGGACTGGGCCTTATCACCAGGTCTCCTAACACATTGACTACTTGGTTGCGTATTTTGCCGGAATCACGGCCTTTCCTTTGTCCTGTCCTTGTTCAGATCCTTTCTTCCTCTCCTCTGGCTATTTCACTGTTTATGGTCTTATAGAAGAGTTTAATGTTATTACATAAGAGTTGACTGCATGGTGCCTTGAGCCTTTTGGAAGAAAGCACAATACGAATCTAATAAATAAATAATAAATAAATGGTATAAGCAGGAGGAAAATTATGTGTTTTAGGTGAGTTGTAAAGAACCATGTAAAACCTAAAAAATGTATTTGTTAGACTAAGAGGCAGGGAAGAAAGTGCAAAAAATCATCGTACATACAGAAGTGAGTCTCCCGCAATGTTTTTAAGTAGAGAAAAATTCCCATGATTTTTAACCCCTTGTGAAGCTGACTCTGTCCTCTGTGTTTGGCTGGAGGGAACGTGAGGTGCAAAAACATCAGGTAGCTCCGTGGCATTTTGTTTACTTTGATGGTAGGCCACGGAAGAGATATGAAAATGACATTGAGGACCCAATTCTACAGTTCTTATGAGCTTCTAACTCCCGGTGATTTCAGGGAAGGCTCTTAAGGAGCGAACATGCTTTGCAAAATCCCACAAATCCTAAGCAAAGTCTAAACTACTCTGTTAATGCTTCCTAGTGGGATCTGAGTTTGTGGTTTTTAAGGAGCCAAAGTTCTCAGTTTTAGGAATGCCATTGTGAATCCTTGATATTACTCTAATATAACAGTTGATTTTAAGTTTGACTTTGGTTTTATGTCGGCAGAAATTGGGGATTGCCTCAGACTTTGGCCATCTCTATTTGCCATACGTTAAAGGTGGATTCTTGTAGTTAAGACATTTGTGTGTGTGTGTGTGTGTGTGCATGTGTGTGTTCCCTTAAAAAATTGGAAAAAGAACATGGCAGCTGTATTTTTTGGTTATAAGTTGAGTTTATGGTGTTTCTATATAGGCTGTTTTTTCTTTGGTCCTTTTTTTAAAAAAACTCAACTGATTCACACAAACCTAAGCTGGAGACACACTTCATCTACTCGTTGTAAATGTCAGCACAAGCCCCATATTTCTCTAAGACCACTTCCTGATTGCTTTCTTCACTCAACGGATTTTAACTGTGTGTCTTGGTCTCTATTTTCTGCCAAATCCCATGGATTAAACATCGCAGTCTGAGACTTGATCTCTTGGCTGCTCTTGGTACTCTTCAAGAAGAGGAATATCCAGACAGATATGCTCCTTGTCTGGACCACCTAAGAAAGACGGAAGGGAAGCAGACTTAAAGCATGGTCATTTATTTCTTGGTATGTAAGGAAACAGGGAGCAGAGAAGTGGGCATTTACCCATGAAATTTATCATAGCTTAAAAGTTGACATGACAGAAACCATTCTTATTTCTTTCCCCCAGTTTCAAATTTGAAATTCACAAAAATATCAAATATTGCCCTCCTTTTTCATTGTACCATGAAATTAATGATGTAGGCATCATTGGAAGAGTACAGGCTTAGAGAGGGATGATATTCAAATATTAATCAACAAATATACTCGCCATGCTCACCAATCAGATGCCAACTATAAATAGTAGGCATAGACTAGACTGACATTTGGATTGACCGGTCAGAGTGGACGTCAGCCATACACAACTACCAAGGCCACATTTAGATGTATTGATTGAATTTCAACCTTGGGCTTAGGAGGGGGACACATCTAAAATATATTGGACTCTGTTTATAGACTACTAGACAGTTTAATTATTTAACTTCTCTAAGTCTCCAATTTCTCACTTGCAAATTCCTAATGCTGATCTCTCTCTCTTTTTAAAAAATTTCATTGGATGAATGTTGGAGACCTTTTTCTTACATTTTGTGCTTCTTTGGATCTTGATTAATTTCTTCAACTTTTTATTCCAAATGACGATACTTTAACTGTGTTTGGACTTTAGCTGAATTCATTCTATTTTTCAACTCCTCTATTGAATATTTATTTTTGGCACTCATATTTCTAATTTTTAGGAATGAATTATTTAATTGCTTCTGTTTCAGGAGACATATTTTATTTTCTGGATGTTGTCACCTCTCAAATCTCTTTAATAATGCTAATTAAAAAAATTAAGTTCCTGATCCAGCAATCTCACATCTGGGTATTTACCCCAAAGATTTGAAATCAGTTTGTAAAAGAGATGTCTGTATTTCCATATTCATTTCAGCACTATTCACAATATCTATATTGGAATCAATTTTAAGTGTCCATAAACAAATGAATGGATAAAGAGTATGTGGAATATATACACAATGGAAAACTATTCAGCCTTAAAAAAAAGGAAATTCTGTCCTTTGAGACAATGTGGATGAGCCTGGAGGACATTATGCTAAGTGAAATAAGACAGGCACAGAAAGAAAATACTGCATGTTCTCACTTACATGTAGAATCTAAAACAATCAAACTCATAGAAGCAGAGAAGAGAATAGTGGTTACATAGCTAGCGGGTGGGGGAATCTTGGGAGATAATGATCAGAGGGTAAAAAACCTCAGTCAGATAGGAGAAAAAAAATTTTTTTTGAGATCTATTGCATCTCAAAAAATTATTAACTATGTAGTTAATAATATAGTATGTTTCAAATTTGTTAAGAAAATAAATTTCAAATGATCCCACCATAAAAATGTTAAGTATTTGAGGTGATGAATATGTTAGCCAGCTTGATTTAATTTTTAAAATTCGTATTCATCAATAATAACATCACTTCATACTGTGTTAATATACATAATTATAAATGACCAATTTACAATGAAAACTTTTAAAATTAATTTCTCTTTTTTGTGTGTATCAAAGAATTTTGGTCCTTATGTTTCGGGTTACTTGTTTTTTGTCAAATGCCATATGATGTTTATGAATGAATGGTTATCTTGATTAATACCAGTAACTGATATAGGCTTCCTTTGAAGTTAGATAGTTCTATGAACTGAGTCAGGGTTGGCTCTATAAGAAAACAGAGTTCTATATAAGTTGGTGGGATCTATTGACAGTCAGTTGTCTCACAAAAGATTATGCGTGTGAGTGGAAACAGCCAAAATTTAGACCTTGATAACTGCCATATAGCAAGGACTTTAAGGAGGAGTGTGCTTGATTTTAACTTTTGTGTTTCCTTTCTGCACGTCCTTTCAAGTTCATGTTTTTAGCTCTAGAGTTTGTTCTGCTTTTTTTCTATGGCCTCAGTACCCATGATAGGAGTCCTCCCCAGTCACACGTCTCACTTTTATGAAGCATTTCTTAGGACTTCAACATGGGGTAAAGGCAGAACCAATGACCCTGTTTATGGAGAAGAAAAACCCATCAAACAAGCTATAAGATAATCCTTTAATTACCATAATGATTGCTCTGAGGCCTGGACTTCTGTCTGAATTGGTTGGCCCAGAAAAGTACTTTAGTAAATGTTTTGTTCTATTGGGACCTTTTTTGTTTGTTTGTTTTCAGCTCAGTTGTGGATTCCTTCTCTTATTTACTGTTATTTCAATGGGGTTGTGAGAAGAAAAGGAATTAAATATGTTCACTGTATTCCCCACCTTGAATTGGAAATATTTAAAGACTTTAATATAATATTAACTTATGTAGAAGTCTTTATTAACATGCATTAATATTTGAAAGTGCCTCATAAATCATGAGGTTCTATGCAAAGTTAATGAATGAATTGCCCCCTTTTACCATTATCATCCTCCTTGTCATCACTAATATATCCAACTTCTAGAAGTTTTCTAGTCCTGTGCTTTTTAATGAAGAAGATGAGTGCTATAGACTAAATGTGTGTGTTCCCCTCAAATTCATAGGTTGAAACACTAATCCCCATATGTGATGGTATTTGGAGGTGGGGGCTTTGGGAGGTGATTAATCAGTGATATGGTTTGGTTGTGTCCCCACCCAAATCTTACCTTGAATTGGAGATCCCATAATTCCCACATGTTGTGTGAGGGACCTGATAGGAGATAATTGAATCATGGGGGCAGTTTCCCCCATACTGTTCTCGTGGTAATGAGTAAGTCTCACAAGGTCTGGTGGTTTGATAAGGGGTTTCCCTTTTCACTTGGTTCTCATTCTCTCTTGCCTGCCACCATGTAAGATGTGCCTTTCACCTTTTGCCATGATTGTGAGGCTTCTGCAGCCATATAAAACTGAGTCCATTAAACTTCCTTTTCTTTATAAATTACCGAGTCTTGGGTATGTCTTTATCAGCAGCATGAAAGCAGACTAATACAGTCAGGAAGGCAGAGCCCTCACGAATGGGAATTCTGCCTCATATTAAATAAAAGAGATCCCAGCCATGTGGGAATGCAGAAAGAAGTCAGCCATCTATCAACCAGGAAGGCATCTTCACCAGAACTTGACTGTAGTGGCACCTTGATCTTAGACTTCCAGCCTCTAGAACTGTGAGGAATAAATTTCTTTCCTTTTTTTCGTTTTTTTAAATTTTACTTTAACTTCTGGGATACATGTGATTAACGTGCAGGTTACATGTGCCAGGTATACATGTGCCATGGTGGTTTGCTGCACCTATCAACTTGTCATCTAGGTTTTAAGCCCGCATGCATTAGGTATTTGTCCTAATGCTCTCCTTCCCCTTCCCCCACACCTTGTGACAGGCCCCAGTGTGTGATATTCCCCTCTCTGAAGACAGCATGGTGATTCCTCAAGGATCTAGAACCAGAAATACCATTTAACCCAGCAATCTCATTATTGGGTATATACTCAAAGGATTATAAATCATTCTACTGTAAAGACACATGCACATGTATGTTTATTGCAGCACTATTTACAAAAGCAAAGACTTGGAACCAATCCAAATGCCCATGAATGATAGACTGGATAAAGAAAATGTGGCACATACACACCATGGAATACTATGCAGCCATAAAAAAGGATGAGTTCATGTCCTTTTCAGGGACATGGATGAAGCTGGAAACCATCATCTTCAGCAAACTAACAGAGGAACAGAAAACCAAACACCACATGTTCTCACTCATAAGTTCGAGTTGAACCATTTCTGTTCTTTATAAGCCAGTCAGCCTATGGCATTCTGTTATACCAGCCAGAATGGACTAAGAAAATGAGCTAATGTGGAATTAATGGAATTTCAGACAGTATAACAAGAGAAAGCAAAATATTCAGATACTGTGAGAAAAGTCATAGTAGGGGGAGGTGACTATGACTGAGAAAGAAAACATGTCTCATCATCTGCTTTTGAGGTCAGCTGATCCAATCCATTTGCATTTTTCATAATTTATTACCTCCCTCAATTCCTGAACACAGATTCTGCATCTACTAAGTTTTCCTGTACCTCAGCTGGCTTCATGGGCAGTGCTGAAAGGTATCTGCTGCCCTCCCTATGTGTATATGTAAGTTATTTATTGATAAGTGTCGGTCTGCCTGTTTGTATATTCTTTTTTTTTTGGAAAGGTTTATTTATTTATTTATTTTGAGATGGAGTCTTACTCTGTCGCCCAGGCTGGAGTGAAGTGGCACGATCTAGGCTCACCACAACCTCTGCCTCCCAGGTTCAAGCAATTCTCCTGCCTCAGTCTCCTGAGTAGCTGGGATTAAGGCACTTGCCACCAGGTCTGGCTAATCTTTGTATTTTTAGTAGAGACGGGGTTTCACCATGTTGGCCAGGCTGGTCTTGAACTCCTGACCTCAAATGATCTGCCTGCCTTGGCCTCCTAAAGTGCTGGGATTACAGGCGTGAGCCACCGCGTCTGGCTGTATATTCTTTTGTATCAGCAAGATTCTGAGTAGAGTGGGTGCTAGTCACATAAGTTTAGAAATATTTTTTGTATTATGAAAGGAATACAAGATAATTTTAGAACATTTAAAAGATACAAATAAGCCAAAAATAAAATAATTAGCCAGTAGATATTTAAAATTTTAGAATATGTATATTTTCAGTATTTTTCTATGTATCTGTAGACATACATGTACCTATACACTTATTTCTCTGATAAGAGCATTCTGTAAATGGTTGTGGTTTTCTTAACACACTTAGAAATATCTTGATAAGCTATAACACTTCTCTGCATCCTTTCTCCTCTTCCTGTTCCCTCTCTCCCTTATCTGTGTTTCTACAGTGCACAAGGATGTTACACAGAAAGCTAAATGTGAGCCAATATATTTAACTTTGAGAAACCAGATAAAAATAACTGTATCTTAATTATTTGTTTGGTGTAGGGGTTCTATCTGTTGGACCACACAGTCATACATGAATTTTTTTGTCATTACTAAATTAGTCAGTTAAGAGAGGACATTTGTTTACTTGAATAAATATGTGCCAGCCTTGTACTGGAGGAAAAAAAGGTGTTGGTTGTGCTGTTCCTTCCTCGGCTTGCCCATCTGGTAGGTGTTGCTTCCTAGCTAAATTCACTGGTGCACAAGGTTAAATGAATCTTTAAAAATTATTAGACCGTCACACAAGTGCCCAAACCAGAAATAAGCTAGACTGTTCCTCTTACTCCTTCATTTTACCAATTCCTTTTTATTCTATCTCCTCTAAACCTCTTGATTATACCCATCTTCTTCATTGCTACTACCTTTCCTTCTGGAACTTAGCATTTCTTATCTTCTTAAAGTTTCCTTCTGTCCTCTCCACTCTCCTCCAATTTCTCTTGCATATTACTTCTAGCATGGTCTTTTACAAATCTGACCACATTATTCCATTTTCAGAGAGAGAGGATGAGCTCTGAAATCAAACAGACTGGATTTAAACCCTGACTCCACTTATCAATTGTATGATCTTGGAAGATATCTAAGCTTTGCAGGCCTCAGTTTCCTTATTTGCAAAATGAGAACGGTGATAGTGCTTATCTTGGGATCATTGTAAATATAAATGTGTTCATAAGTAACAAATGCATAGAACAATGCTGTGCAAATCTTAACTGTTCAGTAAATGTCAACAATTGTTAAAGAACTTGAAATGTCTTCTGACCTTCTGCAGGATAATTTCTGAACTTTTTGAATAGCAGAAGAAAACCCTGCAATTTTCTCTCTGACTGCAACTCCAGTTTCACCTCTTGCTTCTTCTCTATTTGTATCCTACTCTTTGACCAAAATAAAGCACATGGAATTTGCTAAATGTGCCATGACCTTCATGCCTCTGTACCTTTGCACATGCTGTTCCCTTTGCTTGAATATACATGACTATTGGCATCAACAGAGATCAAAAGATGACAAAGATCCAGCCTTTCTCACTTCCAGGCTGGAGCTTGAGCTACTCCAGCACACTGCCTCTTTCATCTTTTATGCTACTCTCCCAAGTGTGTTACTGTGAACTTGGCAGTGGTAGTAAAGGGCTCGATGACTGATGGGGGTGAAGAGAACCCCTAAAAGAGGTTTTTAGTATATACGAACAAACATTATATTAACAATTTGGAACAGCATGGATAATATGCCTTTTTACCTGGGGGCGTTTGAACATAACTCCATGTATCTAAAGAGGACTAACATCATGAGAGGTGTTGATATGACTGTTGCAGCTGTGTGTTTGTATTTTGCATGTCGTGGGTGGTGCCGTCAGCAGCAGCTGGGGCCCTGCTGTTTTCCTTCTGTTCTACTATGTGGCCCTCTTCCTTGGGGCACCCTCAACCAGACGAGCAGATCTATATTGGCTTTGGATCTTTCTCAAGGTGCCTGCTCTTCCTTTCATTAGCGTGGATAATCAGAATTTGATTGTAAAGTATGCCCAGGCCAAATACAAGGGCTTTTAAAATCGTCTGCTGTTTTAGATTATCCAGGCCACTGATCCCCCTTCCTTAGCGTGGATAATTGAGAGTGGACTGGGCTGAAGAATGTTAAGCAGAACCAATTGACAAAATAAATGAGATTTTAAAAATCCTTTAGATTTTAATAATAGAAAAAAGTTTTTTTTAAATCTGAAAGAGCTTATTTTATATTTCAAAACTGTAAATTTATTCGGCTTTAAATTACTTCAAAATAGGAAAATATTTCATATGATGCACCCATTTAAAACCTATTTAAAATGTATACTAATTACAATATGCACTTAATGGAGTTAAAGGAAGAATGGAACATACAGACAAGAGGTTGGAAGTTTCTGATTCAATGTGAAATCTTCTTATAATCATGTTTATATTTCATCAAGGTAACAAAGAGAGGGTAGGAGCCACTTCCAAACTCTGAAAATCTCTCTCTTGATAGTGGAGGCTGCAATTCTTTGCTCCTAGTGAACAATAATCATTTAGAGACAGGCATTTAAAAATGTATGTATAAGATGAACAGAATTCTGATTTCTGGGAATATATGATCAAATTCACCTGTCATTATTTCATCTTTCCCCATGCCCCATGCCCCTCCAAATGCAGGTAGAAATGTATTTGCATGCCATTTGACTGGGAACTGAGAGGACATTTTCCCAATGGAACAATGCTGTAAACGGGGGTAGGTGTCAATAAATACCCTTCAGGTGTGTAATGAGGATAAATAGATTTGGGGGTTTGCCTGGGAATTTGAAACATAATGTAAAAGGCAATGGTGAGTTTCTGGGCAGGTGACTCATAAACAAGTTTTTTGAAACATTACCCATTTTTACGTTGGGAATTGCCAAGCTCAGCCTTAACGTCTCCCACAACACCTATGAATAATCATTTAAATACAGGCTTTGAGACTTGGGGAAAAAAGCGTATTATTTACTCTAAAGACAATAATCTTCCTTGGAGTCATTGTAGTCCATCATGCAGATGCATACTTGGGGATCTTTGGAAAAGCAACATTTTCTCTTGATGGTCCATTACTTCATTTATCTTTTAAGTTATTATCCAGGACTAGATTGCAGACACAGGTTAGGGCTGCACATCAGCCACTCTGTAACAGTGTGGGAGACTAAGGTTCTTTCACAGGGAGAAATATGACAAAGCGGCTTTGCTCGTTCCCTATTGCGTTTGTGTGAAGAGCAGGATACAGTAATGGAGGTAATGGGGACTCTAGTGCATCTTTTGGTTCCTTATAGTGCTGAGAACTTGGCAAATGTAGGCACACATAAATTCTTGTTCCCGAGTGGTTTGATGAAGGGAGAACTGAGAGGTTCTCAGCACAGATATTATACAGCTGAGACCAAATATCCCCCTAGGGTCATCCTACTACTCTTTCCATGGCTGAAATAAAGACCAGATACCACCATACTAAAGCTGTGATGTGGTTGGCTTGTTGCTGGATGACTTTTCTCATGCTTGGAGAAAATTACGTAAGAAGATTGAGAAAAGTTCTATCCCAAAGATCCGCATCTGCAAAGACGAGCAAGATTGCAATGTCTGGATTAAGTTCTCTAGAATTTAAAGTTCTGTCTCATGTTGTATTTGGAGACCTGGCTTCCCTAGCATGAAGTGAATAATTAAATTACATTTTATTTTTTATGTAGCTAGTAGTTAATCCCAATTAGAAATTTATCTACTGTGGTTACTAGAGCCTGGGAGTATAAAGGTGAACAAAATGATCACTTGAATCTGACATTCTGGATGGGGAGAGAGGCAGGTACATGACTACAGTAGGATGTGACAGCCCCAACAATAGAACAGACAAAAGGGTATTTTGCGGCAGAGGTGGGCAGGATGGGGAAATAAGAATAAAGTGTGTGAGGCCGGATGTGGTGGCTCATGCCTATAATCCCAGCACTTTGGGAGGCTGAGGCAGGCAGATCACGAGGTCAGGAGTTCAAGACCAGTCTGTCTAACATAGTGAAACCCCAGAAAAAAATTAGCCAGATATGGTGGTGTGCTCCTGTAATCCCAGCTACTTGGGAGGCTGAGACAGGAGAATCTAGTAAACCCGAAGGGCAGAGGTTGCAGCAAACCAAGATCATGCCATTGCACTCTAGCTTCCAGCCTGGTCAACAGAGAGAGACTCTATCTCAAAATAATAATAATAATAATAATAATAATAATAATAATAAAGTGTGTGAGATTACTTGTGGTATCTAAATTGGGTTTTATGAAGACATGTTTTCTGTTTTGTTTTGTTTCCAGGAAAAGACACAAGAAAGGGCATATTAGCAGAAAAAATATTTTGACATGAGACATAAAAGTATAAATACTTCTGTTGTATTTTTGGAATGGTGTAGTCATGTACAGTTAAGTAGGCACATGAGTTAGAATTCTAATACTTTAGGATGTATTCGAATCACTTGGAGTTCTAATTAAAATGTAGATTGGGGGCCTCATATGAAACTATAATAACAGTATTCACAGATGAGGGCCAGGAATTTATATTTTTTGTAAGTGCCTATATGATTGTTTTGTAGATTGCTCATGCTTTGATAAAGCCTGCCATAGGCTGTGTTTTCTGATGACGGGGTTAATGGCAGAACCTGAAGCCTTATGTCGTGATGCACGTAAACTGCTAGGCTAAGGAATTAGTATTAGCATCATGTGCATTAGCTATTTGACAGCCATAAAATATACTTAGTCAAAGGGTGTAATACAGTCAGGTCTGTATATTTGAAAGAGTTTTGATGGCAGTGTGGAGAATAAACCGAAAGAAGGAGATACGGAGCTGGGGAAAAGTTGTCGGGTTATTGCCATAGATGAGGCAGATGATGATGAAGACCTGAATTTGGGTGTCAGGAACAGAATGGAGAAAAAAAGAGTAAAAAAACATTGAGGGAAAACCAAAAGGATATGTTCATAAATGCAATTTAGGGCATAAAGGAAATAGGAGGAAGACTAAGGTGACTTTTGTGATTATGGTTTAGGTAACTGGCTGGCTGAGGATGCCATGAAGAGAAGTAAAACACTAGAGAAGGAGCAGACTTGGAGGTTGTGTGGTAGAAATTTAACAGCTTCAATTTCATTTGAGATTCCTTAGGGTATTTATAGAAAATTGTCTGGGAGGCAACTGAAAATTTCTGTCTCCATTTCAGGTTGGATTTTCTGTTAGAAAACCACAGCTGATGGTGAAAGTCATAATGAAAGAGAATGCTTGAAAGAGGGTGATAGAGGGAAACAAGAAGAGAAGCAAAGATGAGCAAGGTTGCAATGTTTGGATTAAGTTCTGTAGAAGAATTGAAAAGTCTCAGGGGAAACCCACACAGAACTGACATTCTTACAGAACCTTAGAATGACTGAGAAATAACTTTAGAACATTTCTAGTCTGGTGGTTTTTAAATGTGTTTTGACGTGGCAAAGCCAGGTTTTCAAGCAAATCTAACAAGGTCTTTTTGATCATTGCCGATGGAACCCTTCTTTATGCTGACAATCTATTGTCAGATATGCAGGATTAACCATATGTAGCTACTTTTATCAGTGTTTAGCATGAAAATTTCAGAAAACTGCATTCAGGGAGCCATGTTGATACACCAGAAGAAATCTGCCAGGACTAAAGACCGACCCAATAATTCCCGAGGTACCTTCAGGAAAGTCAATTTATTTTTGAGTCAAAGGAATCTCAAATTATCCTAAATGGCATTGCTTCCACCAGAGTTCTGTTCTTAATTTAATAAGCTGCTACAAGTTCCAAGCCAATGTTCCTTCTTAGAAATATGCTATGCTATGGGATGTAAATCTTTTTAAGTGCATTTCATTGTACCAATTTTTTCATTTTGAAAAAGCCCATTGGTTTATTATTAAGTGGTCTATTTAATAGTGCCAATAAATTCTAAAACTGGAGACTAGGCATTGTTATTTTAGATGCTTTAATGATATCAATTGTCTAAGTTGCTTGGTCTTGGCTTATTTGCTTGACCTTTGTCTGTTTTAATGATCTGGAAAAATTCCTCCAAACTATACAGAGTTGATATAGTGGCTCTTGATATATGATACAAATCTGAAAATACTTTATTAGAATAAGTTTACTAATAGTATTCGAATGATTGTATTAGGTCTATACAATCAAAGTGAAGTTGATAACTGCAAATTTTAGAAGAACCAAAAGCTTCAAGTAAAAATTCAATTTCTGGGAGGTGGGGTGGGATAAGGGTTAAAAAATTACCTATTGGGTGCAATCTTCAATATTTGGTTGATGGGTACACTAGAAGCTCAACTCCCACCATTATGTATGCAATACCCATGTAACAAAGAAGCAAATATTTTCCCCAAGTCTAAGGAAAAAAATCGACAAAACCCAAAATAAGATCACAGTTCAATTTCTTGTAAAATAGGTTTTACTTATTACTTCTGTGTTTTGAGTTAACTGTAATTATAGAATAACTATCCAGAAAAACAACTGGACGATTATACTGCAAAATACTAATACAGAGAGGTAATATAAACTGGTGGTTTTTAGTACCAGTGATTCTACACTCTATTGAAGACCAAAATTTCAAATAAGAAAACCAAAATTCCAAATTTGACTTCTTATATTCAAAAGTAATGTGGTCTTGTTCTTGTTTAGTATCTTTAAGGCTTACTTTTCTCAGGTTAGTAACACCTATTGGCAGTTTATTGGAGTTTATTGGCAGCATAAAATAATTTAGGCAGTCTCTTAACACAGGGCTTGGCTTTTAAAACAGGACTTCAATAAATGCTAACCTTTACCATCATAATTTTTATCACCACTATTACCACCACCGTTATCATCATCATCATCATCATCATCATCATCCTTCTCATCGTCTTCATCATTGTTGCCATCAGGTGGCATGTTAGTTTGGATCCTCTGAGAAACAGATACCAAGATGATATTGAACGTGCAAGAAATTTATTCAGGGAAATGAACATCAGGGAAAATGGGGAGGGAGCCAGGAAAGGCTATCATGCATGTCTGACAAGCAAAGGAGAGAGTAAAGGAAGAAAGGGAGTTGGGGTGAACCATTTAGACTACAGTGCAATTCAAAGGGAAGTTCATCAGGATCTTTGGAGAGTCCTTGATCCAAAGTCACCTGTCAGAAGAGTCGCACATCCTCCACGAACAGGCCTACTTTCTTAGCTTTGCCACACTCAGCATTGACTGAGATCAGCCTGGGGAACTGTGGTGTCAGTAGAAATGCTGTGACATGTTTCAGTGCTCAGTGGCTGAAGGCTCAGTCAGTTATGCTCCCTGAGCTTGGAGGTAGGTTTTGTAGTGTGTTTCTATAGGTGTCACAGACAAAATTGTGGGTGATTAAAAAATATCCCATTTTTTGGTATTTTATTAATTATCTATATGTAACCTGCATTTAATATTTGAGGGAAGAAGTAAAATAAATAATTAAAAATATTTCCTTTTGCTTGGGTAGCATTAACTCTTTGAAACTTGCCCAAATCTCACAGTAACTGTTTAGCTTTTTAATTTGCATGAATATTCTGGTACAGCTCTGCTATTACGTCAACAGCACCTTGCCACGACAAGTTTTATTTTCTTGTTCCAACTTTTTCTATTTAGAAACCTGATTTGATTAGAGTGTGAAAGTTTAAGTGTTTGAAACAGGATTCAATTAAACTAGGTCATTCTTGGGGCTCTGAAAATGGTAACTGGCCTTAGGCAAATGAGAACAAAAGTTATAAAACTCAGTTGGATGCATCACAACATTTAGCATCTTTAAGGAAGACGTCTTGCCTAATAGATTCAATTTAGAAATATTTAGTGTAGGTCATCAGCTTAAGCACCTAAAAAATGTGTTTGTTTGTTTGTTTCTCCCTTTAGTTATAACTAGAATCGGAACACCTGGACTCTAATCTACAAAATAAACAATTTGTGCTGGGACCTTGAAGAAAGTCAATTAGTTTCCGTGACTTTACCAGTAGGTTAAAAAGGAGATTGTAATATTAGTGAATAATGTGCTTAGAGATGTTTGCATAAAAGATGCTTTGTCATTGTAAAGTATTATTGAATATTTATGGTCTACCAGACTGAGCCAAATGGCCCAGAGGAAAAAACAGTTAGATTTATGTAAACCTTGTTCAGTGTCCCAGATACTTCAGGATGGGTGCTCTATATGTGAATAAATAAATAAATGGTATAAATATTATTTTAAAATTTGAAGGTACATCAATATTATCTGGGGTGTTAGCCAATGTGCCTGACCTATGACATTGAAATGAAATGTCTGCCTCCAGGTAACTATTTCAACCTCATAAATATTTTTAAAGCCAGAGGCTTTGATGGCAAGTAATGTTTTCTTAGAGTTTTGTGTCTGCAAATAAAGGTAAATTATATCTTTACCTAAAATCTACAAGAAATGATTGTCTCTCATCCAAAAGGTTGCTCAGAGAGTTCCCAGATTGAAATTGTATATGTTATACTTCTTTCCCTTTCTTCTAAAAAAGTATTTTACTTACTCTTGCACGGTAGTTTTCTGTCACATTATTGTGAGAGATCAGAGCCTCAAAGAAGAAAAAAGTTAGCCATAAACACTGCCCAAGGACTTAATGGATCTTACTGAGCCACACCATGCAGATGTATTGGAACATAAATAGGTATAGGAGATAAGAGGCACAAAAGCAATTTGTTTGGATTGGGTCACTGCTTAATCCAGATGGGTTCAGCAAAAGAATTCATGAAACGTGACAGTGGGCCAAGAAGAACTTGCTGTGACATTTCAGATTCCCCTACTTCTTCTAATTAACCATTTCAAGTATAACAAAACTTATAGCACATACAAATCTAGTGCAACCCATCTGTACCAAGCGCAGACCTGTCCGTGGAGGATGGATGGTTCTGTTCTCAAGCAATGGACTATGACACAATAATATCTCAAGTTGGGCTTTTAATTTCTATGATACATTGATTCTGAACAGCATTTTTCTAAAAGACAAAAACTATACCAGAGTTGCTTTTTGACATAGCCTGTCATTAAATGCATTTGGATATATTGCATGGATCAAAATATACTGCAAGTTTAATAAGATATTTGAAAATATAAAAATTGCACGTAGAAAAAGCCCACCATCATGGTAATGATGAGAATAATAACAACAATAGCTACCTTTTAAAAAAAGCAACTATTACTTGCCAGTCACTATGCCGGACGTTGTACACATGTCCTTACAAAAACTTTGCGAGGTGGAGATAATTATTCTCTTTTTATAGAGGAGGACACAGACTCAAAGAAGTAAAGTTGTCCAGGGTGAATTAGTATGTGGAAGATGTAAAATTTTTTTTGGAATTACAGAAAAAACTCCACAAACCCACATTCCTGCTTAGGCAAGTCAAGAATTCTTGCCTCTTTAGTTGATGGGTTTAGAATAATTTTTTCAGGTGCTAATATCAGGATATAACCCATATCTCTTCATACACAGTTCTTCAAATCTACCTGTTCGCAGCCCTTCTTTCTTCTCTTGAGAAATAGAAACTAGGATTTAAACCTCAGAATTATGCCTCAGTATCTACAGCACTGTAGTGCCTCATAAATATTAGTTGAAATGGTAAAAGAAAGATACAATTGCCCCTAATGCCTATGATATTCATTAGTCAAAAGAGGATGGAATTAGCCCATTTCCATGAATGTAAAATTTATATATGTATTCTAGAAAACATATATCAAAATGGAGTTATTTTAAATAAGATGTTCATATTTAACTGACAAACAGAATCAATCTACCGTGCCTAGTTCATAGAATAGATTCGGGGAGTCAATTTTTGTGCTTAATTGTTTGTACAAAGAAAATCTTTGACTTATGAATGATAAGAAAATAATGAAAATTGAGTTAGTGCTTATAAAATTCTCGAATTCTTTTGCTTTTGCAATCAAGCCAGGCAGATTTCTAGGAGTTGAGGTTTCTTAGGGTATTTTATGTTTCACATGACGTCACCAAGAAGTTACGGATCAATAGAACTTTGTAATGTTCATGTAGCAGAGGGATGAAAGAGTTAAAGGATTTAGGTGTTGCAAAGGGTGCTTCTTCTGGGCAACAGAGGTTTGAATGTAGGGCACCTTTTGCATTTTCAGCATTAATGTTTGAACTCTTGTCCTACAGTTATGTAATAAGACAACTTTATTTTTTTTTAAAAGAGAAACAGAAAAAAACGTCTGCTGAGAAAAATACTTGCCGCCCTTGGGGACAGATTTTGCAGTACATTTTTGTACAGGAGTCATTCTCTCCTGTCCAAAAGCTCTGGAACAGGATGAATGTCCTTCTCAAGGTTCTTAGAGCCCAGAGTCATGACTGACTACACGCATCAGAAGAAACACAGAGATGTATGGGCAAGATTCAGTGGGCACACCCACAGGTCTGAGAGATCACTGGGCTGGCGAGGCATTGCAGCCAGGCCGCCAGCTAGTCTAGAAAAAGAAACCAGGACTGCAGTCGTCGGTAGACTAGCTAGATAAGGGTCGGTTCCCTCAAGGACTAGTTACTCTGAGGTCTGTTCTAAGGGGAGGCAGCCCATGAGCAAATATAGCCTAGTATAGTAGGTATAAAAACTGTTAATTAACAATAACATTTATGTACTGCCCCCCAGCAAGTCAGTTTTAAATTCAACAAATTTTCTCAGTAACTTTGGGAAACAGGAAGACCAGGTGTTATCCTCATTCTCATTTTACATATGAGGAAACTGAGGCACAGGGAGGTTGAGTGAATTTCCTAAGGTCACAGATATAGTAAGCTACAGAGGTGAATTAATGTATGGAAAATACTGATTGAAAGGCTGGAGAGCACAGACTTTGTTCAGTCACATCTGACTTACAATTTTAGTTCTGCCGACTGCTAGATCTATGACCTTCTCTAAATCCTTGAACTCAAGGAAACTTCAGATTCCTCGTATTTAAATGGAAGGGAGGGAACATGAGTAGTTATGAAGCATGTAAAGTGCTTAGCACAGTGCTTACCCCATTATAAGGGCTCAATAAATGATAGCTACTATTACTATCATGATGTTTTTTTCCACTATACCATTCCATCCTTCCAAATGGAGCTCAGTTTAGCACAGTGACAGTCAGAAGCTGAAACCAACTTAGAGTGATCAGAAGCTGAAACCAACATAGATGGATGGATTTGCCTATCCATATCCAGTCTCTATGTTGCAGCTTAGACCAGCACCCAAAACACTAATTGTTATCTTGGTGCTGTAGTTGACATTCTATTTTGTCATCTGTTACATGTATGTTGTACTAGTTATATCTACGTTTCTAGTTTACATATTTAGTATTCCTTAGCAATGCTCTGATGGATGGAAAGAAGAGTCGAGGTTTTGTTGCAAAGACAGAGCAAAGTGTCTTTCACTAGATAGCGTGATTCAATGCATAAATGACTGAATGCAAGGAGGCTTAATTGAAAGATAAAAGAATAATTGCTGTAGAATAGCAGAGGCAAAAGCAGCTATGGTAAAAAGTCGCCTGTCTTAAACAGAGTGAAAATAAATGAAGAGGGGGTTTGAGAAGTCTTTGTAGCAAAAGATCATAAGAAAATAAACACCAGTGCAAGGCAGGAGTCCAGAAGAACAAGTCCCAGAACCAAGACTGATATATTCCTGTCAGAATTTATCACTTCTCTAAATTACCAGGTCAGTAGTTAAATTATAATCACATTCTGTTATATATTATACTGGTTCAGTCAACAAATGAGACTTTTAGGAAATCCTTATAAAAGGAACTTTGTTTCTGTTTCCCAATGTCCCTTTACACTTGCTTGGTGGAGATAACTCTTCCCTTCCATTTAGAAGAAAACGTAGGTAGGTTCTATTTCTCTGGTCACCTTAAATTTTATTGTGTACTGGATATTTTCTATTTGCCTATCCATATCCAGTCTCTACTTTTCCTTGCTCTGGGCCAACCCATGTGGGTTGGCATCAATGGACTCCATTGTCCTTTATCTTCCATTTGGACTTGATCAATGGGAAACATTAGCAAGAGATGGGAAGGTAAGTGGGAGGAGAGAAACCGAAGTCTTTACCCTGCTGGTTTCCTTCCTGCTGGACTGCAGTGGGTTGGCTGTGTCCCTCGACTAATGCCTCCTCTCGTGCTAGGCAGCCTTTGGCAAACTGCTACTCTCTGCAGGTTTTGTAAACCAATTCTACCCCAGCCCCTTCATGGGCAGCAATGACTTCCTGCTGTTGCAAGCCCTGAGGTACTGCACTATTCCTTGTTGCTTTCCTTGAACCCTGCTCACACCATCGTAAACAGTCTTTTTTTAAAGCTTTCCTCAATAACCCAGTCTGAGTGCTGTCTGTTTCCTGCTAGGACCCTGGCTGATGCATATGGACACTTTAAATTGCAAAATACCGTCTAATTTTGATGCTTAGAATAATCTGACTATGAAGTAGTTAAAATTCCAAATTGAATTTAGAATTAAGTCTTTCTTAGCTCTATTGGAAGAGGGAGCAAGGCCGTGGTTCTTTCTCTGCCTCCTCTTATTTCTGCCTGTTTACCATGGTTTCTGACCTAGTTGCCGGAGAGGTAATAAAATGGAAAGTTCTTAAGGTGGCATCACATGCTCTGATTTCGGTAGATATTTAGAGTTGATTCTTTTTCTTACAGACATTTGTGTGGCCCACTGCTGAGAAGTACTCTAGTATCTTAGATGCAGGTGATGCTGTGTTCTTCAGTTCATCACTTTCTCTGTCCTGTGGGCATCTAGCCATTTACCCTAGCTTCCATTTGTTGAGGTCTGCAGTGGTCTGAGCAGCCACCCCCACAAGATATGTCTGAGTCTTAACCCTTGCTCTCCGTGAAAGTGACCTTCTTTGGAAATAGGATTTTTGCAGATATAATTAAGATAAAGATCTCGAGATGAAATTACCCTGGATTTAGAAGGAGCCCTAAATTCAATAAGTGTCCCTTATGAGAGACAGAAAAAAAGAAGACACAGAGACACAAGGGGGAAGGACATCAGAAGACAACAGCAGAGACTGGAGTGATGCATCAAGCAGCCAAGAAATGCCAAGAATTGCAGCAGCAAATGGAAAAGAGGCATGGGATAAGTGCTTACTTCAGTGACTGCAGAAGGATCCAACTCCGCCAACATCCTGATTTCAGACTTCTGGGCTCTACAACTATGAAAGAATACATTTGAATTGTCCGTAGTCATCAAGTGTGTAGTGATTTGTTACAGCAGCAGTAAGACATGAATACAAACTCTGTTTGCCTTTGTAGGCCTCCTTGGAGAGATGCTAAGGCATCACTGTGCTTACTCCTTCACCTGTGCCGTGTCTTGTCCAGGGGAAACATAAGCACATCCTTTTCTCAGTCTCTAGGGCTGCAGGAAGATCCCAACCCAGCTTCAGTTTTCCTTTGCTTCTTCTTTCTTTCATCATCTTTGTTTCTTTCCTCTTGTTCTCTTCCTGGGTTCTTGATTCATTCAGTAGAAGTTAAGACTCCAATTCATCATATTCCTTTAACTGAAGGGACTCATACCATGACCTGTGAGTAGTTCATTTGAGTGCTGAATTAGTCTTCCAGGGCTGCTCTAGCGAGATACCACAGATTGGGAAGCTTAAGCAACCGAAATTTATTTTCTTACAGTTCTGGAGGCTGGAAGTCCAAGATCAACGTGCTAGCAGGCTTGTTTTCTCAGGAGGCCTGTCTCCGTGACTGGCAGACGTCCACCTTCTTGCTGTCCTCACATGGCCTTTGTCCTATGCCTGCATCCCTGCTGTCTCTTCCTCTTCTTACAAGTACACCACTCATATTGGATTAGGGCCGCATCCTAGTGGCCTCCTTTTAACTTAGTTCCCTCTCCAAAAGCCCTATCTCCAAATATAGTCATATTCTAAGGTATTGTGGGTTAGAAATTCAACATATGAATTTTGAAGGAACACTATTCATAGCAAGTGTCCACCTTTAGGTTGAAGTGAAAGGAAAGTAATCATCCTCCCTTTTTCTTTGAGGCATGAAACGCACATTACACGGAGAGTTCTGTTCAAGGAAAATACCTCTTGAAAATCCTCATTAATCTCCACCGCTGATGTGGGTGAGAGAGTCAGGTGTTGTGACCCCTGTTTGGGAAAATGCATTTGTGTTTGCAGCTTAGACCAGCACCCAAAACACTAATTGTTATCTTGGTGCTGTAGTTGACATTCTGTCATCTGTTACATGTATGTTGTACTAGTTATATCTATGATTCTAGTTTACGTATTTAGTATTTCTTAGTATTATTCATCTTAGAGTTGTTTTGATTTATCTCAACTCAGTTTTCTAAATCTCATTTCAGAGTCTCACTTAAATACTGTTAAGTACTTAAGTGAATAAATGGAGGAAAGAGAGAGAGAAAGGAAGAGAGAAAGAGGAAGAGAGAGAGAAAGAGAAAGAGAGGAAGAGAGAGAGTAAAGTCATTCAGCCATCTAGTCTATATTTCTTTTAATGTCAGGAAACCAGTTATTTAGATAATGCATTAAATTAATAAATATTTATTTCAGTTTGGTCTGTTTTAGTGATCCTTTTTAAAAACAAACAGGTTATAGCTATGTCTACAGAGGGAATATGATTGTGTGTGTGTGTGTGTGTGTGTGTTTGTGTGTGTGTGTGTGTGTGTGTGTTAGTTAGGGAGGGTGGTGGGAGGGAATGTCCTGGTAGGAAGAACAGGGAAAGGCCAATCTTAAATGAATAGTTGTCCACCAAGTCAATACTTTCAAAATATTTAAGACGAGTTTGGACACTTATATCTCATGAAGTAACTATGTAAGTTGTCTAATTTCACACAGTCACCCAGTCACCCATACTTTGAAGAAATAATTAAACTTACTGACAAAACTGAATTCCAACTCCTTCCATATGTTAAGTTCCACAGTGAGATAAAAGCAAGTATGACTAAGCTTGAGTCTTTTATCCTGGGAATGTAATTTATTTCTCAAGTCCTAGAGATACTGGTCTTAGAAGGACTGGGGAGCTTTATTTCTTAACAGAGAAATCTTTAATCATGTCATTTGTCTAGGACCATTCCTGGTGTAAAGATTCTTGAAATGCTGAGTTGATTTTAGGGTTTCACTGTGTCTTTGTGAATGAGACGACCGAACAGGCACAATATGCCTAACCAAACTCTTATCTATTTTCTAAGGTAGAAATTTCTGAAAATCTGGACAGTGAACTCTCCAATTGGGAAAAGTCCATTTTAAAGCATTTAGCTGCATTAAAGATGTTTATTTTCTTAAAATAACATTAGTAACACATTTTTCCTTAAAATTATTTTGCTTTTATTTCCTGCTTAATCTAAGATTTACTTCAGAGTTTTTTAAAATTCCAAGCACATAGATTGGAGAAGATGGTACGTAGACTTATTTTTTTATTGTTAATCTTTCTTCCTCTTTTCTCCTTTCCTCTCGCTCTCTTCTCTCCTTCCTACTTTTCTTTTGTTTTTCCTTCCTGCTCTTCTTTTTTTCCCTCTCTTCTGATTGGTTGTCAGATAATGTAGCCTGTATGAATTATATATGAGTGAAAGTAATTTTATTGTTATTGTTGAGTATGAATTTCTGTCTCTCTCATTCTTTCATATGTATATGTGTATCATTTGTATGTGTGTATACGCATACATACACATATAAATATACAAAGACATATATACACATGTGTGTACCATACAATTTTACAATAATTTTATTGTTGTTGAGTATGGATTTCTGTCTCTCTTATTCTTCCATGTGTGTATGTCATTTGTATATGTGTATATGCATACATCACATAAAAATATACATAGACATATATACACATATGTGTAGCCTGTATGAATTGTATATGGGTGTTTGAAAATAATTTTATTGTTGAGTATGAATTTCTGTCTCATTCTTTCATACGTGTGGGTATATCATTTGTATACACATGCATACACATATAAATATACATAGACATATATACACATACGTGTGTACCATGGAGAATAACTTTACAAACTATTTTAATCAAATTATCTTTTTCTTTGTCAGTTTCTGAGAGAAACTCTCTCATTGTGTTAGTGCAGTTTTCAACATATTCCTGCATCTAGGGAGGTTTTTATCTGTAGATTTCAAAACTCGATTGTTAGATGCATAAAAGTTATTCTATATAGTTTTAGTACACTGTAACTTTTAATGTGAAAATATTACTACTCATTCAATTTAATGCTTTCTAATTGTATTAATTTAAAATATTAATATTGCTAATTGTACTTTTTAAAAATATTTGCACGGTAAATACTTTTTTCTCTTAACCCTTACCTTTGTTCAAACAGGAATATTTAATGAATTGGTAATTTTTGTGCTTACCAATATGTTTCAACTTCTTTTGGCCGTATTATTATGGTATATTTTCTGTGTTTTTTTTTGGTTTTTATTTTTATTTTTATTTTTTTAATTTTTTTTGTTTATTATTATTATACTTTAAGTTTTAGGGTACATGTGCACAATGTGGAGGTTAGTTACATATGTATACATGTGCCATGCTGGTGCGCTGCACCCACTAACTCGTCATCTAGCATTAGGTATATCTCCCAATGCTATCCCTCCCCCCTCCCCCCTCCCCCCACCCCACAACAGTCCCCAGAGTGTGATGTTCCCCTTCCTGTGTCCATGTGTTCTCATTGTTCAATTCCCACCTATGAGTGAGAATATGCGGTGCTTGGTTTTTTGTTCTTGGGATAGTTTACTGAGAATGATGATTTCCAATTTCATCCATGTCCCTACAAAGGACACGAAGTCATCATTTTTTATGGCTGCATAGTATTCCATGGTGTATATGTGCCACATTTTCTTAATCCAGTCTATCATTGTTGGACATTTGGGTTGGTTCCAAGTCTTTGCTATTGTGAATAATGCCGCAATAAACATACGTGTGCATATGTCTTTATTATGGTATATTTTCTAATGCTATAGTTTCCTTTTGTATTTTCTTCTCTTCTAGCTTTTCCCCCGTCATTATGTTTTGCTTTACTCTTTTTCCCATCTAGTGCAGTGTTTCCTAGGAGAGGTGCTGTTGACGTTCAACATGGCCGTTTCTTGTTTGTGTTGGCTGCTCTCCACTTTATTATTGGCTGTGCCACTAAATATCAGTAGCATCCCAGTCACTGGGACAACCAAACAACACTTGTTCCTTTCCACATGCCTCCAAGGGATGTCATACCACTCTGAACTGCAAATAGGTGCTCACTACTTTGGGATCTAAAAGTCTGAGTTCTCTTCTCTTGTGGTTATCTTTATTTTTCTAACTGAATGTTTAGTTTTGTCTCTGTAATATATGTGTATGGTTTAAAAATTGAAATAGAACATTGAGAGTCATACCACCCAATAGCAAAGAATCATCATCTTTTTTATCACTCTACTTCTTATGTTCTTGAATGCCAACACTTTTAATTGTATTTACTTCTATGTAAATACATGCATATATAGTTATTTGATTTTTCTAGTTGAAAACATGACATTGACTTCCTATTATATACGATGAATTTTTTCTTTTTCTAGTCTGAATACAACATTATACAAAGTAAACTTTCTCTTCTCCATTTTTCTAATTTGGTTATTTAACAAATTTTGTTTAAATTGTGACTCAGTTCTTACATCATTTTTAATGTAAATATTGTGCGCAACTGAGCCACTAATGTCCTAAGACTAATTTTTTTTCAGTAGAGTTTTTGTTTGGTCTGAGTTAATAATTGTCTTTGTTTTTGTTGTTGTCTTTTATTTGATCCTTTTCTTAATTTTTTGCCCACTGTCTGCCAGAAATGTAAATTCCGTCTTGATTTACTCAAACACATCAGAAACTTTGTTTCTTTTTCTTTTCTTGGAGGGATCCTTCTGGAAACTTCCATCCTCCTGTGACTTAATAATAAAATGTGCTTCCATGTGGTGTGGTGGTTTCCCTTGTGACTTTGGAGGCTCTTGTCCTGTCAGGATTAGTTTAGGGCACAGAGTGCTGCTTGCAGATCAAGGCATCTTTGCTTACCACAGCCTCAAAGCTTTCCATACCATACTTATGTGTAATACTCTTAATGAATGTTAGTTGTAAAAATAAACAAAATTTTCTTCTGAAAGAACACCAAATCACAACTTATACGGGCATTGACTTGAACTTTTAGTCACATTTTACCTTTCAAATAAAGAATTTTCAATTACTTACGAGCACGACAAAGATAACTTCTGCACGTGTCTGTGAAGCAATGAGACAGTAAACAGCAGTATTCGTATTTTATGTGAAGCACACCCCACAAAAAGCATTTTACTGAGCGTGCACTATTTTGATACATGATTCTTACTACTGGAGGGACACAGACAGGTCAGTAAAACATGGACCCTGCTTTGACAGAGCTCAAACTAAAGGAGGCCAAAGAAAAATGTTTTTAAAATGACTCAGCCAGGCGTGGTGGCTGACGCCTGTAATCTCAGCACTTTGGGAGGCCGAGGCAGGTGGATCACGAGGTCAGGAGTTTGAGACCAGCCTGACCAACATGGTGAAACCCCATCTCTACTAAAAATACAAAAATTACCTGGGTGTGGTGGTGTGTGCCTGTAATCCCAGCTACTCAGGAGGCTGAGGCAGCAGCATCGCTTGAACCCCGGAGGCAGACGTTGCAGTGAGCTGAGAACATGCCACTGCACTCCAGCCTGGGTGACAGAGCAAGACTCCATCTCCAAAAAAAAAAAAAAAAAAAAGACTCTAGCACTATGCGTTATTTGCAGGGTGGGTGTTCAGAGGAGGATGTGATAATGGTGGGGAGTCAGAAATGCTGCCAAAAGGAGGCAATGTGGTGATGTCAGTTTTGGGTTTGGAAGGAAGAATAAACAGACAGATAGACAGATACATGTACCCCATCCCCCTTAGTTATTTATTTCTTACTTGACATGATTTCCTTTGTGCAGGGGTCTATTAGGTCTGTGACCTCGCAAAGGCATTGTTATGGCAATTGTTAAAGTGATAGGATACCATTTGTAATGGTGTTTTCTATATCAGGAAGCTGAGGGCCCTACAGACCAAGTTATACAAGCCAAGACATTGATTCTTAACCACAGGCAAGTATGCAAATATTAACAGTATTTTCTACATGTGCATTCTGGCATCAATAGGGAGGCCACAGAGAGAAGAAAAAAACAAACAACAACTGGTCATTTGCATTCAGCCTAAGGGAGGAGAAAAGAACTAATACATTTTGAGCACATATTATTAAATATCTGCCATGCACACTACTAAGCATTTTTGCTTTGACTACTAGAACCCTATGAAGTAGATAGTATCTTCCTATTTTACACACAGAGAGGTCATGTAAATAGTAAGGGGTAGAGACAAGACATAAACTCATTTATGCCTGCCTCCAGAGCCTATGCTCTTTTCATAATCCTTTGCAACCTGGGAAGTCTTTGATATTTGATAAAATATCAGTATTTTACTTTTTTGTGGAAATCCCTTCTATGTTCTAATAGGATAATTTCAAACACAATTTTATTTTCTTCCAAATTACTAAAAATAAAACACAGGATCTTGTCATTTCTTGCCGAACATATTGCAATATAGCTAACTGGTCTGGTTTGGGTCTCTATGCCTTCTTTCTCCAATCACCCCAGCACAGCCATTGAAGTATGCACTTGCTTTCCCTCGATGAGAACTCTTACTCATCTTTGAACACCCTGGCTTAAAATGTTTTCTCTTGGGCAAGTATACCTGACTCCCAACAACAGAATTAATTATTGAATGCCTGTTCATTAATTTTCCCACAGTTTTTTTTTAAAACAGGTTTTAATACAACTCTTAATGTAGTCTAAGAATTTCTTTGTATAATATCTACTAGATTGTGAGACCCTTAATGAGACCTCACCTAAGTTGTAAGTATTAGTAATGGTCTCCAAGGAGGTTAATCTATTGGTGTTGATAAGGGAGGACTCTAAGGGTATCACATTTTGCTGTTCGGTTATCAGCTATGTGATCATGGGAAATCAACTCAATATTTACATGCCTTGGTTTCCCTTTGTACTTATTTGGAATAATCACAGTGCATTTTTGAAGGGTTAGAGTGAGGGAAACAATGGGATGGTTGAAGTAAGCTGTTGGTGTAGTGTTGACAGAAAACTAGTGCTCAATAAATGGCCTTTACTATGAACAATGAAATTATAAAATTGATTTTGTTAGATACACAATAGATAATATTTATAATATCTGTATATAGTATTAAAAATGATATTTACCTACTCCCACATTTCCAGAACCTCCTTCAATATTGTCTGTCTAGCCCTCTGCCCAGTGGTATCCAGGAAAGTGAATTTTGCATTTATCAATTTTTTTGCTTATATGGTCTTGCTACATGAGAATGTATAGTGTGATAATTTATTATTTAATTTTACATGCTTTGGGACACTATATAAATGGCAATGTATTATGTGTATTTTTTGCAACTTGCTTTTTCTCTCTCATTATATTTGGGACATTTATGCACATTGATCTGAGAAGTAGTTCAGTCTTACTCCTGTACAGTCTTTCATTATAGAAATATGCTATAGTTTATTGATTTATTGTCCCAACAAAGGAAATTTGGGTTGTTTTCAATGGTTTTCTTTTTTTTTCTTCTTCTTCTTTTTTTTCACTGACTGTTGCATTCATGGATATATATGTCTCCTGGTCCATTGTAGAAACAGGGTATACAATGGTATGTGAATTACTCGGTTTTGGTGTATGTGCTTCTTTAATTTTAGTAGATGTTTCCATACTGTTCTCCCACCAGCACTGTATACACATTTCTGCTGAGCAACAACCTCTCCTACACTGGATACTGCCCGACTTTTAAATGTGTGCCAATTGTGTAGGTGTAGAATGGTGTCTCATTGTGGCTTTCATTTGCATTTTCCAAATTTTTAACACTCTCTTACCTTTTTAAAGAAATGTTTACTAGCCATGTGTTTTCCCTTCTGTGAAGAAATTCTTCACATCTTTCATCAATTTTTCTGTAGTCTCGTTGGCCTTTTTAACGGAAATATTCAAATATAATTGCGGATTTCTTGCAGTTCTGTAAGTTTTTGCTGCGTGTATGTTGAAACTCTGTTATTTCATGGATAAACATTTAGGATTATTAGGGCACTACTCCTATGTGAGTTCTGAGTACTGTCACCTCTAATCCTTCGGGTGATTTTTCAATCAAACTCAGATGGTTTCTTCACGCATGTGCCTGGATAAGTATTCTGCATGCTCAAGTGCGACCTTCTATGGTTTTTGTTCTCTCTTTGGAACTCTTTCCCTCTTTGGTGCTCTGCCCTGAGAATTCTAGACATCTTGGTCTCCCTGGGTCCTCAGCTTTGTCTCCTCAGCTTAAGAAGTCTGCCAGACTGTGGGTTTGTCCTCTCTGTGCTGTGTCCTGGAAACTTCACAAGGTAACACGATGGAGCAGTTGTAGGGCTCATTTGTTCCCTGGCTGTGGATGATCCCTGTTCTTTGTTGTCTGAGGCCAAATGTCTTCAATTTCACTGTGTCCTATATTTTGTTTGGTTTTCAATTGTTTTAGGTGAGAGAGTAAATCTAGACCCTGTTACTACATCTTGGCAGGGAGAAGACATTCAGGTCTTTTGTATTCATTTTTAGGAGTTCTTTATGTGTTCCAGATAAAAGTTCATTATTAGTCATGTATGTAGCATATATATCCTCTTACTTTGTGCCTTGCATTTTAATTTCCTTAATGATTTCTTTTTGTAAATACTATTTCTTAATGCAGTTGAATTTCTGAGTTCTCCCCCTTTAGGTCTAAGCTCTTTGAGTCTTTTAAAGATCTTATTCTCTAACCTGAGGTTACAAAAATATTCTGTGTTGTCTTCTAAACATTTTAGAGTTTTCCTATTTAATCCACCTGTTTATTGTGTATATGTGTAGTGAGTAGGCATCCATTTTCACGAAAAAATATATAAATCAATTTTCCCAGCATTATTTACTGAAAAGTCCCTCTTTACTGACTAGAATGCCATCTCTTTTGTATATTGAATTTTTTATATTGAATATGCATGGTATTATTCTGGGGTCTCTATTAAGTCCATTGATCTATTTATGTGGGCCTATGCCAGTGCCACGCTAAGCTACTTATTATAAATTTGTTCTAAATCTTAGTATATTTTAAGATAAGTTTCATACAATATTTTTTTGAGAGATTTTAAATACTCTTGGCCCATTTATATTTCATACAGATTTTAAAATCAACTTACTAAATTCCTTTAAAAAACTGTTAGGACGGGTTGGAATTGCATAGCATTTATAGATCACTATTAAGAGATTCAGAATCTGGATGACATTGAATCTTTGTATTCATAAACATGATATTCCATAAACAAATATTTAGATATTCTTGAAAGAAAATTTTACTTCCTTTCTTATCTTTCAATAAAATTTTATAATTTTCTAGACAACATGCTTACACTTTATTATATATACATTTAGGTATTTTTGCTGCTATTTATATAAATGTTATATTTTATAACTGTTACTTTGTATAGAATGCATTGTCCTTTATTAATTTTGTATCAAGCAAGTTTACTGAGCTAAACTCTATAAATTTTATTCTATTTTAATTTATTTTATTTTAAGTTCTGGGGTACATGTGCAGGATGTGCAGGTTTGTTACATAGGTAAACACATGCCATGGTGTTTTGCTGCACCTATCAATCCATCACCTAGGTGTTAAGCCCCACATGCATTAGCTATTTTTCCTGATGCTCTCCCTCCCCCCCATATCCCCTGCCCCAGTTAGGTCCCTGAGTGTGTGTTGTTTCCCTCCCTGTGTCTATATGTTCACACTGTTCTGCTCCCACTTACAAGTGAGAACATGTGGCGTTGGTTTTCTGTTCCTGTGTTAGTTTGCTGAGGATAATGGCTTCCAGCTCCATCCATGTCTCTGTAAAGGACATGATCTCTTTCCTTTTTGTGGCTGCATAGTATTCCATGTTGTATATGTACCATATTTTCTTGATCCAGTCTGTCATTGATGTAAACCCTTATTCTTATAATTCATCCTTACATTTTTTTGGAGGTTTTACATAGGTAATCTTACAGTTAACAAATGATTGTTTTGTTTTGTTTTGTTTTTTCCTCTCTGGGGCTTATATTATTTAGTTAGTTTTATTTCAGTGTACCTCTAATTAACAAACCTTATGTAATGTTGAATAGAATTGATTATAGCAGACATCCTTGACTTTTTCTTGATCTTAAAAAGAATGTTTTTTAGCATGTAGGTTTTTTGTAACTATTAGTTACTACAATAGGGAGATTGCCTTTTATTTCCAATTTACTAACACTTTTATTCATGTATACATATATGATGTTAACATTTGTATGTATTGAGATGACCACACGGATTTCTATCCATTAATCAGTGTTTAATTACATTAATGAATTTTCTAATGATAAACTAGTCTTGTATACCTGGACTATAACTCAGATTTGTAAAACATTCTTTTTTATACCTGTTCAATTTGGCAACCTGTTATTTTATTTAGCACATTTGCAACTGTGTTAATGAGTGAGATTGGCTTATGCTTTTTCCTTTATTGTAGTACCATTTTCTGGTTTGGTATCAAGATTATACTAGTCACATAAAATGAAGAGAATATTTTTTTCTTTCTTATTTTCTGGGAGAATTTGCACAAGAGTAGAATTTTTTGTTTGTTTCATTTTTTAAATGATTGTTGGAACTCAGTTGTAAAACCAACTGGTCTGGCATTTTCTTTGTGGAAGATTTTACTACCAATAATTAGTAACTACTGATTTAATTTCAAGTTTTTCATTTCTATTTGAGCCAACCTTGGTAAGTTATAATTTTCTAGATTTGTCATTTCCATCTAACTTTTCAAATGTATTTTATAAAGTTTTTAAAATAACATATAGATGCTGTCAGTTTAACCTCTGCAGCTTCTTTAGCTATGTTCCCCTTTGCATTTCTAACATTTATTTTTACCTCCTCATTTAAATACATACACACCTCAGATGAGTTTCTATTTTCTTAGACTTTTTTTTAAAAACCATCTGCTTCTGTTAATCTCTATCCTGAGTTTTTTTTGTTTTTTTTTTTTTTTGGTTTTTTTTTGAAAGGGAAAAAAATTTTTTTAATTACAAACTCAATTCATTTGGTGCATTTCAAAGGTGCAATACTTTTCTTCATTTATCAGTGAAAGAAGTTAGAAATTACTTGGTGCATTTCAAAGGTGCAATACTTTTCTTCATTTATCAGTGAAAGAAGTTAGAAATTAACTTCCCAAAAAAATCAGCAAATGGCAAACAAATGTCCTTGAAAGTCACAGTCACATATAGTGCGTCCTAGAAAAGAGGAGGGGCAAGACGGGCTCCACCCACTTTCATGAGTTTCATCAAATACTGGATCTACTCAAGGGTGGAGAGAAAAGGCAACTTTCAAAAAGGAGTATGTTATTAAATGAGGCATTTACTATACTCCTTCCTAAGAGCACCAGATGGGGAACATGTTTTCTAAACTAGATCTAGGAAATGGAATGTGGAATCAATCCGTCCTCCTCCCCTTAAGGGCTAACCACTGGTTAATGAATTAAAAAAACAAGACTAAAAAACAAACCCCACACACACTCCCCCCCAAAAAAAGAGGAGGGAAAAAAAACAAAACAAAACACTAAGATGTCCCAGATTACTCTCCAGAGTGGAACCAGGGAGCAGCTTCAACAATTCCAATTAGTCTGTTACAGAGTCATCCATAAGCATGCCTTGCTTTTAAACAAAACAAACAAACAAAAAAACACACACAAAAAAATTTTTTTTGAAACAACAAAAAAAAAACTAGTACTAATCACTTTTCTGACAATACAATTACTCAAAATTAACTAGTACTGGGAGGGGGAAGGGGGGGCCATACCTATGGGCCTTGTCTCACACGAGTGCATGTGGGTAGGTGCAGGGCATTTGTCATTATTGGAAAAACGAATTTTAATTTTTAATCTTTAGTTTGATTTAAACATTGCTTTTAGTATGATGCCGACACCAGCTGTGCAGAAAGGGCTCTGGAGAGATGTTCATAGCAGCACACACCTGCGGCTCTTTTTCGGTTCTGGAGGCTCCAGGGCAGCCAATATTGCTTCGTCAAATACATTCTTTAGGCCTTTCTTTGTAAGTGCAGAACACTCCACATACTTGACAGCCTTCAGGTCACGGGCCAGCTTTTCAGCAGTCTCTGGAGTGATAGGCTTCTGTTTGTTCTTGGCAGGTTTCTCAATAGTAGAGGGGTCATCTCTGAGATCAATTTGAGTCCCAACAAGCAAAAAAGGAGTCTTTGGACAGTGGTGAGTTATCTCAGGCACCCACTTTTCTTTCACATTTTCAAATGAAGATGGAGAGACCACTGAAAAACAGACTAGAAATACATCTGTTTGTGGATAACTCAGCGGTCGTAATCTGTCATAATCCTCTTGCCCTGCAGTATCAAAAAGTCCAAGAGTATATGGTTCTCCACCAATCATAACTGTGACTGCATAGTTGTCAAAAACAGTCGGTACATATTCCGATGGAAATTTGTTTGTTGTGTAGGATATCAGGAGACATGTTTTACTAACAGCACCATCGCCCACAACAACACACTTAATTGTCTGCATTGCTGAAATAGTTTTGTATCCACTTTAAATATTTCAAATCTGATGTTGACCTCAGCTTCTCCACCGGGGCGTTCCCCTGAGTTTTTTTTTCTATCTTATTATTTCTAATCTTACCTTAGTTTTTCTCTTTCTGTTTCTTAGTTTCTCCTTCTGTTTTCTTTACCATCTTTCTCTTCCTTCTATTTTTCCTCTTCCTCTTCCTCTCTTACGTGATTAGCTCAATAACGTTGAAGTTTGCTTGTTTTCTAATACATACATTAAGGCTTTCTGTTTTGTCAAGGCTTTCTATTTAAGTACCACTTAAACCAGATGACACAATGTTTTAATATTTTGTGTTATTTAGTTTTTATTATATTTTTGGTAACTACTATTATTTATTCCTTTTTTTCCCTTAAGTTCTTCCTGTGTGCATTTTCATATTTCTGAACTTTTGGGGTTTCCTAATTATCTTTATTTATTGAATTCTAACTTAATTGGTCAGAAATTGTTATCTGTATTTCCTCAAACTTGAAATTTATGAAGAGTTTATTTACGGAACAATTTGTGCACAACTTTCATAGTGTTTTTTGTCTGCTTGAAAAGTATGTATTCTTCAATTATAGTGTTTGTTATTTTGCAATGTTATGTATATCAATTAGATCAAATCTGTTAATGTCTGACTCTTTTCAGTGGCTGAGAAAGGGGTTAGTTAAATCCTCCCATTTTGGAGGTGGATTTGACAACTTTTTTTCAGTTATGTCAATTTTTGCTTCACATATTTTGAAGCCATATTCTCAGGTGCATGTATATTTAAAATAGTTTTATCATTATGTAGTGACCCATGTTCTCTCTAGTGCTGCTTTTTAAGTCTTTTTTAATGCTGTTTTATTTGGTGGAGGGGCAGAGTATCATATTTTGACTTTTGATTTTCTTATATCTCCATGTTTTCAAAGTGTGAGTATAGTAAATAGCATATCATTGGATTTTTAAAATTTAACAAACAATGCATGTTCTCACTCCTAAGTGGGAGCTGAACAATGAGAACACATGGACACAGAGCGAGGAACAGCACACACCAGGGCCTGTTGGGGGGTGGGGGTGAGGGGAGGGAACTTAGAGTACAGGTCAATAGGTGCAGCAAACCACCATGGCACACGTATACCCATGTAACAAACCTGCACATTCTTGTACGTGTATCCCTTTTTTTTTTTTAGAAGAAATAAAGGAAAACTAAAATAAAAAAATTAAATATGGTACTGAAGCAAATAAACCACTAATAGCTGAAAAAAAAATTTAGTCTGACAATGTTTGTTTTTTCACCGAGTTTACTTCATTGACTTAGATTGTTAGAATGGATCAGTTTTATTGTGTCCTACCATCTTACTTTATGCTTTTTATTTTGCTAACTATGTATTTTTCATTTTTTTATTTTCTTGCTCTTTTTTTTTATGTATTTACTTTTCCGCAGCTGTCATGATCAGTTAACTTCTCATTGTGAAAGATGAGGATTTATCTCTTTGTTAGTTTTCTTTCCTTCTATCTTCCTATCTCCACTACTACATGAAAGATTCCAACACCATAATCCTCCCCAAATAATCAGATTTTAATTGTATTTAGATCAGTGGTCAGGGTTTACCTCATTGTAACCACTGAAACTTATTTACACCTGAACCACATAGTATACTATCATTATTTTTATTTTCCAGAACAACATTTTCACACAAAGTTAATACTTGTTTTCTATTTGTTCATTTTGTTTTCTGTGTGTTTATTGCTAAATAAATCTAATACTTTTTATTTCTATACATTTTCTCTCATTCTAACATACTAGATAGCCCTACTCATTAGTGATGTAAGGAATCTTTCATGTACTTATCACTACTAATCATTAGGGAAATACAAATCAAAACAACAATGAGACATTGCTTCACACATAATATGATGGCTACTATTAAGAAAAAAAAAAGCAACAGAAAATTTCAAGTGTCAGCTAGGTCGTGGAAAAATAGGGCATCTTGTGCCCTGTTGGTGGGAATGTAAAATGGTGCAGGTGCTATGGAAAACAGTATGGTGGGTCTTCAAAAAATTAAAAAGAGAATTACCGTGTGACTTAGCCATTCCTCTTCTGGGTATATGCCCAGATGGTCTGAAAGTAGAGTCTTGAAGAGATACTTGCATATTATGTACATAGTAGCATTATTCAGAATAAACTGGAAATAACCCAGTGTCTATTGAGAAATGGTGGATCAACAAAATGTGGTATGTACGTGTGATGAGGTTTCACCAAGCCTTAAAAAGGAAGAAAATTCTGACTCACGCTACAGCATGAATGAAGCTTGAGGACATTATGCTGTGCAAAATAAATCAGTTACAAAAAGACAAATACTGTGTAATTTCACTTTTCTGAGGTACCTAGAGTAGTCAAAACCAGAAAGTAGAATGGTGGTTACTAGGGGCTTGGAGGAGGAAGGAATGTTGAGTAATTGTTTAATTTTTGCAATGTTTTAGTTTTGAATATTTAAAAAACTCTGGAGAAATGATAGTGTTGATGGTTGCTAAACAATATGAATATATTTCATGTCACAGAACTATACTCTTAAAAATGGTTATGATGGTAAATTTGATGTGTATTTTACCACAATTAGAACAATATTTTTGTTAGTTCACGATACACAATAAAATGATTACAGATTGAATGAGGAAGCTTGGGTGGATTCAGACAAAAAAGATTGGCAAAATGTTGAAGACTGCTGCAGATGTGTGACAAGTACATGGGTTTCATGCTATTCTACTTTTATGACTGTTGAAAGTCCCATGATAATTTATTTTTTTAAATAAAACTTATGTAATGGTTAATTGTATGTGTCAACTTTACTGAGCTATGAGATGCCCACATAGCTAGTAAAATATTATTTCTAAGTGTGTCTGTGAGGGTGTTTCTGAAATAGATTAGCATTGGAATTGGTAGAGTGAGTGGAGAAGATTACTCTCATCAGTGTGGGTGGGCATCATCTAATCAGTTGGTTTGAATAGAACAAAAGGCAAGGAAGGGAAAATTTGCTCTGAGCTGGACATTTATTTCTTGCCCTCATACACTGGCACTCCTGATTCTCGGACTTTCAGACTTAGATTCAGTTATACCACCAGCTTAACAGCTTTCCTCGTTCTCCAGAATGCAGATAGAAGACTGTGGGACTTCTTGGTTTCCAAAATTGAGTGAGCCAATTACTATAATAAAACTATATATCTCTACCTTATTGGTTTTCTGGAGAACCCAGACTAATACAACATACTAGATATTCTATTTGTATCATCTTCTTGAGGAAATAGCTCTCACAGCCTGTCGCCTGCTCAAACAGACTGGGTACTCCCTGTGTCTACTGCATAGCTATCATCCTGGAAGTTTCCCTTTGCCTTTATACTCCTGCATGAGTTTGCCAGGACTGCCAAAACAAAATACCTTTTGTCTGTGTTCACACATTCCTGATCTCTCTCTCTCTTTTTATAAGGACACTAGACATTTTGGATTAGACCCTCACCCTTATAACCTCATTTAACAATCATTACCTCCTTCAAGACCCTATCTCCAAATCCAGTTACATTGGGGGTTAGAGCTTTAATATATAAATTTCGAGGGGCTACAATTTAGTCCATATCTAATATGGTTTGACCGTGTCCCCAGCCAAATCTCATCTTGAACTCTAGTTCCCATAATCCCCACATGTCATTGGAGGAACTTAGTGGGAGGTAATTGAAACACAGGGGCGGTTACCTCCATGCTGTTCTCATGATAATGAGTGAGTTCATCTGGCTTTACTCTGCACTTCTCCCTGATGCTGTCATGTGAAGAAAGGCATGTTGGCTTCCCCTTCTGCCATGATTGTGAATTTACTGAAGCCTCCCCAGCCCTGAGGGATTGTGAGTCAATTAAACCTCTTTCCTTTATAAATTACCCAGTCTCAGGTATATCTTTATTAGCAACATAAGAAGAGTAATACAATATCACTCAGTGATTTTGTCAATTTCTTCTCCTGAATTTCTTTTTTCCTGGATCCTAGATCTTTATCTTTCTTGATTACATCATTGTTTTAGTAAAATGTATCCTCCAGTAATATCCAAAGAGAGGAAATTTTTGAGAGCTCATGTATCTGAAAATATCTTTTTCCCATTCTCACACTTAATGGTTTGATGGCTGAATTGTGGTTACAAATATTGAGGAGTAATTTCCTCTCTCCACCCAAGTTTGAATCAAGCTAATTTTTTTGTTCTCTCTTTCTGCAGGTTGGGTTTGTCTCCAGTTTTTTTTTGCAAAGGATATGAAGTCCTTGCATACCAGCTTTTTGTGACCATCTCTATTTATACTTTTCATCTTTGATGCATCTTAGACTTTGTCTCCTTTCTCCCTTGTTCCACAAGCCATTAAAATGAAAGCTCAGATGGTCTGAACTTAGCAGACACTCCCAGTACAAAAGCCTGCATCACTACTCACATATGCATCTAAATTACCCCTCGCCCTTTGTGTTTGGGTCACCTAACCTCCTGCTAGAGTAACAATGCATTAAAAAGTGTATTTCCTATATGTAATCCAACAATCATAATTGTTTGGAGAATGGCTCTGAGTATGCAGTCCACCTGGAAACAGTAGTCTTATTCATCATAAAGGACATCATGCTTTTAGAATGTGGGCATAATTGCAACGGGAGAAAATTTCTAATGGGCAAATGAGTTATTAATATCATTCATATAGTAAGATTTACATTAAAACTACTAACAAATATTGGCCTTTATATGATTTTTATCCAATTTCAGTTATAATTGTTAGTTATCAATTTGAAGATTAGTTTTTTTTAGAAACAATGTTGTTTAGTTCTGCTTTGTCTAGCCTAGTACATGTGGAGAATAAGCGACTCCACCTCAGTACATGTTCCTGCTAAGTGACATTGACCTGTTAAAATTGTCAAAACTTGTTTGAGTTATGTTACTTGTACTGCTTTCCAAAATGTATAGATTATGTTTTGCACTTCTTAGTCTTGATAAATGAAGTAGTTTGGTCATCAGCTGACTTTTTCTTCATCACTCTGCGTAATTATTACTAAGAGCAACATGGTCCAATGGCAGAATCTTAGACTTCTAAGATCTGAATACAAATCTTAGCACTGTTACTTCCTAATGGTGTGATCTTATTCAAGTTAGTTGTAAGTGATGTGGTGAAGCCCGCTTGTGCTGGCTCATGAGAGCCTATTGAGTTTTTGTGTGAGCTGATTCTTTAACACAGACTTTATTAAAAATTACTTATATAAGCTTATAGGTAAATTATATCAAAAACAAAGTTAGTAAATACTTAAAATCATTACTTAACTAATTACCAAATTTCACTGTTTTCTATGGCCTTGAGGTAATTTAGATCTCTTGTATTTGAATAGGAGAAACACTGTAATATGGTGTGCTGCTACGGCTCTTCTTTTCCCAGCTCTGCCTTCACGGATATCATGGTTGCAGAAATTGGCTGATGCTAGAAGTCATTATTTGATTTATTGTTTTGCTAGTTGTCTAGACCTTAGAAAGTGATAGGAAACATGTTAATAATATGGATTCAACTTAAAAGTGTGTCATGTCTGTGGCTGTGGTGTTGTGAGTAGCACCAAAAATTGAGGAGACAGTTACCAGTGTTTGAAAACTGTTACCTGATTCAACAAAGAAGTAGCTCGTGTCAGTGGTAAAAAGTGAAGTTCTGGTACATCTTTTGTCTTCTTTTCCTTCTACCTGTGAATATAAGGAAAAATATTAACCAAAAGTCATATGATAACTACATGCATTTGTCAAATTACAACTGTAGGTTGGCTACTGATATGGTTTGGCTCTATGGTGCCCCCGCGCCCTGCCCCAAATCTCATCTTGAATTGTAATCCCCGTGTGTTGAGGGAAGGTCCTGTAATCCCCACACATCAAGGGAGGGAGGTGATTGGATCATGGGGGTGGTTTCCCCCATTGTTCTCATGATAGTGAATGAGTTCTCATGAAATCTGATGGGTTTGTAAGTGTTTGAAAGAAAGCGCTCCTCCTTCACTACTTCTCTCTTTTTTGCCACCTTGTGAAGAAAGTACCTGCTTCCTCTTCCCCCTGATTGTAAATTTCCCGAGGCCTCCCCAGCCATGCAGAACTGTGAGTCAATTAAACCTCCTTTGTTCATAAATTACCCAGTCTCAGATAGTATCTTTATAGCAGTGTGAGAACAGACTAATATAGCTACCAATATGACTTTGCCAAAAATCTAAAAGAGCATCCTATATGAGAATCAGTTGGTTATATGGAGTTCACAGAAAAGGGCATTGCATAGTTTATTATTTGTAAATTGTGTATTATGCATACTTTATATCAGCAAAATTGATAATAAACATATATACATATAGGTCTATACTTATTTTTTAACATATAGCCAGTTAAATATATACCAATACACCATTGCTTAAGCTGAGATTAAGCTTTTTCATGTATTAAATCAATCATTCAAAACTATGAGCATCATACTTCAAAAATTTTAGTTTTGTGTTTGTTCCTATTTCATTCTATGAATACCACTCTTCTTTTATCCCCATTCCTCTAAACCCCATATGTAGACATAACTTGAGAGTCACTGGATTGTGTAAAACTATTTGCTTCTATAATTACATGGCTCCAAAGTAAAATACTTTCGAATATTCATAGCTTTTTTTGAATAGATATTTAGTATTCTACCTTGATATCAATGACCACTTTTGCTTTTGTCAGAGCTCCTTTTAGCAGCCTCTTCTGTATCCTCATGGCGCCGTCCATGACTTATCACTCCTGCTGTCCTGAGGTTGGAACTGGAGACTATACCTAATCCTTTTAGATCTGTGCACAAAATATGAGTATGTAGATGCTCAATGAGGTAATTGTTTTCATCTATTTTACTCCAGCTGTGACCTCTTTTCTTACATAGTAATTATAAGATATTATATATTAGGCTTATAGAAAGGGATTGCCAAAAATGTAATAAACAGCCCCTCATATACCTTCTACCTTGTTTAATGAGTGAAACATAAGAGATGCATTTGAAGGCCCTGTAGACCCCTCCATGGTTCCACTTCCTTCTCTTTTCCTCAAAGGTAATCACTCACCTGAATTGATCATTCCCAGGCATGCGATACTTCTACCTCACATGTATATGCTCAGAATATACGTGGATTGTTACATATATTTTTAAATATATAAAATATGATAAACATACTGGATATGTTCTTTTATTAAATTAATGGACTTTATATTTTAGATCAGTTGTAGGCTTACAGGAAAATTGAGCAGAAAGAGACCTCCTCTGACTCCAGCCCACACTTGGATAAATGCCCTTCCCTCGTTTCTGAAAAAGAAAGGGCCTTTACATTGGCTGTTACGTAAATTCCCCAAAACATGAGACACAACATAGTTCACTCTGGTATCCCCTGGGCTTGTTATCCTGCTTGACACATAATATTTGTTGAGTCAAGGGCAGTATGAATGAATGAGTTTCAGATAGCAATATCGTATAAGCAGTGGTGGAAACCAGGGCTCCCTCCCCTCCAGAGATGGACTGGACCAGCACAGCCTCCATTGTCAGAGAATAGGAAAATAGGGTTTAAATGTCAAGGGCCACACATAAAGTCCCAAGATCCTGTCACGCATAAGGACAAGGCATGTTAGTCATGGCCAGGGGGAATGTTTGCAAGGAGGAGATGTTTTCAACTCAGATATTCATAAGCCAGGGCCTGCCTCTGTTTACCAGCTGGGAGGTCTTCAGATAATGAAACATGAAAGCCTGCTATGCAGCGGCGCTATGCAATAATTTTTCATTTGCCACCAGTCAGCTTCAGGGATCAAGGACAGCTAAACACATAATCCGCTCATGCATGTTATTTTAAAGGCTTATATTTTAAAGGTTATAAATATGGTACATTGAGTTAATGAGGTATGTTCTTTTGGTGACAAATATTTACATTCCACATATGCCTCTTGATGTCAAGAGTGTAACTGTTTCATTTTCTTCTTTTTCTCAGGAGGCTGGGATGCAGATGGAAAAGGCCCTTGTGTCTGGGACACATTTACTCATCAGGGAGGAGAGAGAGTTTTCAAGAACCAGACTGGCGATGTAGCTTGTGGCAGCTACACTCTGTGGGAGGAAGATTTGAAATGTATCAAACAGCTTGGATTGACTCATTACCGCTTCTCTCTTTCCTGGTCACGTCTGTTACCTGATGGGACGACAGGTTTCATCAACCAGAAAGGCAAGTGTTTCTTAAAAATAGAAGGTTGCAGCTTTAATTCAAGGTTATTGCTGCAGTCTGGCATAATTAATCCAGTATGCTATTCTGCAATGTAGCTTTCAAATTGCAAGTTTTTAGAGTGATTATGGGATAAATTTTTTGAAATGGGTTTGCATTAGTTTTCACAGTAATATTTTGGTTTTCTTTGACTGTTGAGATCTTTTCTGGGGGTGATGAGTGGGAGGGAGGTTAGAATAAGTGTTTTATTATGTAACGTGAGTGTTAATCTGAAGGTAAATTTAAAAAATTTGTATTAAACTATTTTCAGTTGTGTAACCCTGTGATGAGTTATGAAAAGTCCTGAAGAACTTGAGATGATTCTAAGCACTTCAATTAGGGCTGAATTAGTGGAGCTAATTAACTAGCATGGGGTTAACACCAAGGCCCCTGGAGTTCACTTACTGAAGATTAAGTCCAGCTACATCACTTACTATCTGTATAAACATCTCTTGGGCATCTCTCAGTGCCTCAGTTTCCCCATGAACAGAAAAGAATGCTGTAATAGTGACTAATTCAGAGAGTTGTTGGAAGGTTAAATGAAATAATCTTTGTAAAGTGCTTAACACGGTTGCTAACATTTCAAAAGCATTTAGTAAGTGTTAGCTATTCTTCTTATTATGCCTTGTAAGTAAAAGGACCAGTCATTGCTCTATTGAATGCCTGTTATTTATGAGGCATTTTCACCCATTTTCTTTAATTCTCACCAACAGTAGGGAAGGCATAGTGATCATATTTTACAGAGGTGTATGTCCAAATCCACATATTTGGCAAATGGCCGCTCAGTTATTTAAACCTAAGGTCTAGCTAGCTCTTTCTACAAAACATGGTTGGAAAACTATGACCTGAAGGTCAAATGTGGCCTGTCATCTATTTTTGTAAATAAAGTTTGATTGAAACATAGACATGCCTGTTCATTATGCATCATCTATGGTTACTTTTCCACTTTAATGGCAGAATTGAGTAGCTAGGGCAGAGACCATATGGCCTGCAAAGCCTCAAATATTTGCTATCTGGTCCTTTACAGGAAAAGTTTGCCAACCCTTGCACTACGACATATGGTTTCTTAATGAAGACACTTTATTACTACTTTGTCTTAGAAAAGATTTTACACCATCTATGGTGCTGGGACTAGGTGAAGCAATGAGGTGTCTAGGGCATAAAATTTAAGGAGAGCCTCTTAAATTTAAGGACAGGCCTCACTTGTATGACCTAAGAGAACACCTGCTTGCCTCGCCATGCTTCCCATCCCAAGAACCTTCATTAATACAAAGGCATTATTCGTGAGTAACTTATGTGATTCCCTATATAGAACAACCCTTGATGACAATTCCTAGATGGGCTTGTGCACTTGAAAAGCTCATTTTATTTAAGTTGGGATAATCTTCACATCATGAAATAGAATTGCAACTCATGAACTCACGTGTAGTATCAGCCCTAGAGTAGCTTCTCCAAAATAGGGACAGTTTAGGATCAGCAGGCTCATTCCCTGATTCTAAAGACATTGGCCCATGACCAGTTGCTGCTGATTAGATGTATACTTTCTTGCCATCTCTGACTAGTTTTATTTTTTATGTTGAATGGAAGGTAATTTGTTGTTCAGTTTAAAAGTGAACTTATTATCTTCAATCTTCCTAATCCAACATCTGTATTCTCCTTTCTTTCTGGCACCACCTTACTCCAAAGTCTAAAAAACAAAAATAACCTTTGAATCCTTTCTTGTCTTTTCTTCCTCCATCTAATGGGTTGCTGAATATAGTCCATTCTAATTATGACTTTTTAACTTATCTTCTAATCCCTCTTTTTGCCCCTGCCCTAGTTTGGGTATTTATCATTCTTACAAGGACTTTTTGATATATCCTTGATGAATCTATCTGTTTTCACCTTCTGTCTGTCCTTTGCTTTCTATAAGATGCCATCATAGCAATTTTCCTAAAGGTTGACCCAAATCGTATTGGTTTGGATCATCTACTGCTAAAAATGAAGCAAGATGCGTGGTGGCTCATGCCTGTAATCTCAGAACTTTGGAAGGCTGAGGCAGGTGGATCACCTGAGTTCGGGAGTTCGAGACCAGCCTGACCAACATGGAGAAACCCCGTCTCTACTAAAATACAAAATTAGCTGGGTGTGGTGGTGTATGCCTGTAATCCCAGCTACTTGGGAGGCTGAGGCAGGAGAATCGCTTGAACCCAGAAGGCAGAGGTTGCCATGAGCCAAGATCGCATCATTGCACTCCAGCCTGGGCAACAAGAGCGAAATTTGGTCTCAGATAATAATAATAATAATAATAGTAGTAATAATTTAGTCACTCAAAGCCTCAATATACAGTCCATACTCCTTCATATATCATTCCAGGCTCTATTTGACTTAGACTTAATCACCTCCAAAAACTTTGCAGTTTTGGAGGTGATTACCCCACGTGTATGATCACGCAATATCCTAAACACACATTGGTACAGGTCTATAATCTTTTATCTGTAAGTATAAGTAACCCACTACTTATTAAACATACCATACAGTTTTCCACCTTGTAGGAATTTGCTTAAGCTTTTTATTCTGCCTAGAATGAGCTTTCATTAACCCCAACTATACCTGCTGAAGGCCTGTCCTGCTGTTCAGGGCTAGCACAATTGCCCTCTTCTTTACAGTATTTCTCTATTCTAAGCCAGAAAAAAAATCTCTCTTTTTTTTTTTTTATTCTCATGGCACTTTGCGAAGCTCTTAAGATATTTCTCACATTCTTCATTGTTAACTGTTACTATATCCCATGTTAGACTATGGGTGCCTTAAGTTTAATTCAATTCAACCAAAGTGTGCTGAATGTTTATTGTGTCAGGGACTGTGCTAAGTACTCATGACATTCATATTAGAGAACCCCTGGAATTGTTTACAGTGTAATGGGTAGATAATTCTGCCCTGTTACCCTTGTAATCTAGTCCAGCACCATCCATGGAAGGGATTCAGTAAAAATTATTGAATTCAATTGAATTAGGTCAATAACAATCATAAAAATAACTCTAAGGGTAGTAATGCTTGCCTTTCATTGAGCATATGATATACAGAGCTCACCATGCAAACATTGCACATACTTTTGTTGATTTAATGTTCATAACAGTCCTATGAATGAGGGGCATCTCTAAACAGAAGCAATAATGCTAACATGGGAAATAAGGTTAGGCATAAATTTGCCAAGATGACAAATTTAGTTAGGTTCAACCTAGGCTTGTCTGACATAAAAAATCTTGCATCTAGTCTAGAGCTCAGTAAGTTTGGCCAAACCACTTGAATTCTCTGTGCTACAGTTTCCCTGTTGGTTAAATGAAGTGGAGGCCTTATGGTACTAAAACTTCTTGTACTCATTCTAGGGGTTTGGAGTTTTTACTGAGCTTCCATTTGGATGGTAAACAACAACAACAACAGCAGAAACCAAAAACCCACCAACTTGTAGTATTGGTCCACAGTGCCGTATCTGAAGTTCTAAAATCAAAAGGCTCTTATTACTAAATCTTTCTAAAATTAAATTGGCAGCAAAAGCTAACTGAATTGTTGTGAATATTTATTCTGTTTGGTGATAATATTTATTTATTTTACTACAGACATATTAGGAGATACTCACTCAGATTCACTGAGAGTGTTAATATATGGTATATGCTCTGTGTTTCCTTTCTAAAACATTCTGAACTCATATGCCCCTAAGATTTTCAGACACAAGATTATGTACCTGTACCAATATGTCAACATATTCAGCTTTGAAAACCAACTTGAGATACTCAGAAGTTTGTAGAGACACACTGTAGATCAGCAATCCAAGAGCAAGGAAACCGAAACCACTGGAGAGTGGGGGTGGTGGTACTGAAGTCATGGAAACCACCTGAATATTGTGGAGAAATTGCTCATGCAGATCTCACGTGGGGATCACGTGCCTGTAGCACTGAGATTTTTGTGTTTGGCCCTAGCTTTGGTAAAACCATGGCTGATTAATATTACAGACTTTGCTTTGAACAAGAGGGCACTGGAGGTGCATCCAGGAGGTGGAATTTCAATAAGCAGTTGTTCATTCTTGTGCAGTGATCTGTTGAAGCAATTGGAATGGTTTTAACTTGGAAAGGCCATCTCTTTTTTCCCATTTAAATATTTTCTCAAAAAGCATGCGAAGAATTAGAAAATCCCTGTCACTGTTCTTCCCAAGGAACGACCTTTTTGTGTTTGACTATCCATTTCAAAGCTTGATTATAGGACATTTGGAAACTTGTAAAATTCTGTGTCCCCAAACTAGAAGAATGTTTTTATGAAGTGGAATTGTTACAGACTGTCTCTTTCAAATGTCAGTTTTTCAAAGTTTAACAAGAAAAGATTGAGTTGGCAACTGAAATCACATATTCCTGTATTTCTCAACTGTTCAAGTGCATGTTCATATCTGCCACAAATGTAAATTTCAGACGATTAGTGGGAAGCCCAAGTATTGGAAATAAAAAAAGGGAATATTTATGCAGAATTTAGTGCTCACTTGAAGATTTAAAATATGAGTTCTCTTAGCAGGGATGGTTTAAATAAATTAACTAAACAAGCATTAATCTTGTATTCTATGTTGGGCACTATAATAGACTGAAAATGGCCCTCTGAAGGTGTTCATGTTCTGATTCTTAGGAATTGTGAGTGTATTAGCTTGCATGGTAAAACAAACTTTACAGATATGATTAAGGGAAGGATTTTGAGAGGAGGAGATTGTCCTGGACTATCTGTGTGGTCCAAGTATAATTACATGGGTCCTTAAAAGAGAAAGGTAGAAAGATCAGAGTCAGAGAGAAGAGGTAAAAGAGATAATGATTAAAGCAGAGGTCAAAGAGAAGAGGTGAGGATGAAGATGGGAGAAGAAGCCATGAGGGAAGGAATGCAGGTCGCCTCTGCCACCTGGAAAAGGTAGAAAGATGAATTCCACCTGAGAGCCTCCAGAAGGAATATAACTTTGCTGACATCTTGATTAGCCCAATAAGCACTGTTTTGGACCTCTGGCCCCCAGAACTGTAACATAATGCATTTGTCTTGGTCCTGCCACTAAGTTTGTGGTAATTTGTTTTAGCAGCAATAGGAAACTAATACAGGCAGTGTGGCAAGAGAACACAGGAGCAGTTAAAGAAATTGATGGGAGGTGGGGGATCACGAGTTCAGGAGATCAAGACCCTCCTGGCCAATATGGTGAAACCCCGTCTCTACTAAAAATACAAAAATTAGCTGGGTGTGGTGGCACGTGCCTGTAATCCCAGCTACTCGGGAGGCTGAGGCAGGAGAATCGCTTGAACCAGGGAGTCAGAAGTTGCAGTGAGTTGAGATCACACTCCAGCCTGGGTGACAGAGCGAGATTCTGTCAAAAAAAAAAAAAAAAAAGAAAAGAAAGAAAAGAAACCGATGGTGTGAATGGTGTGAATCTAGAAAGGTGTGAACCAAAGAAAGTTGTAAACTTGATGCATGGTAGGCATGAGATCAAAGGAATTCTATGTTACTTTTTTTTGTTGAAGGAGGATTCTAGGTCAATTTTTTTTTTAATTTGAGACATCATCTTTGCAAGTTCGAGCCACGCCCTCTTCTAGGGGAATTCCCCTATATCTTTGTTTTATATAATCCTGCTTGACCCCAGGTCACAGCTGACAGGACAAAGGAAAGACATTTTTCCCTGGACTTATAATGAGCTGTGACCTCATGGAAAAATAGGAGCTTGCTCCATTGTTTTCCTCCCTCAAGGATGTCTGGAATTGAGGTACTGAGAGGCTGAGTTGGTTGGTGGTTGGCACTGGGGCTCAGAAGTAGCTTTGGCAGGTGGGACGGCCATTTTGAGACCACAACAGATTGAGTGTGTAAAGAAAACTGGTTCTTTCTTAAGTATATATTTTTCTGTTTTGTCTCTGCTGCTTGAATCAGAAGGGAAAGCTGTTTCTGAAAGACGAAATGGAGCAGATGTGTTGAGAGAAGCTGGGATGGAAGAGATCAGTTTTCCCTGAGAAGCAAAGATTTTCTCAGCTCCCAACTTCAATTCTTTTGACTTCCACTTGCCATTATTTTCTGTCATTGAGTCCCTGATCTATTTCTGTCATTTAAAATAATGTCCACTGCATCTATATCTACTACCCAACTGCCCCCAGTGCCACCTTTGTATATGAGTTCATCTGGGTTGGTTTTTGTTATATCCAAAAGACCTCTACCTCAAATATGTTTCATATTTTCTAAGATCAAATAGGCAGAAATCAGCTTAATTAGAGAAGATAATATTGACTATGAAAGAAAGCTATAGAAGTTTTAATCCTTAAAATAATCAATTCTGTCCTAAATACCCAGAAGCAGAATGGGATCCAAATGACCTCTCAAAGTTTCAAAATCCCTAGATTGGTAACAGGTGATCATTTAAAAAATACACATTTATTCAGAAGGAGAATTTGTTTATCAGTGACTTACACTATTCTGAAAAACAAAGTTAAATAACCCTTTGGCAGTTTTATTCTCATTCAATACTCACATGCTCCTAAGGTGGCAGTATTAACATTCCCATTTTACAGATGAGGATACTGAGGTGTAGAGAGACCAGTGATTTATCCAAGATCCTTTGACTGAGTTTTCTGGGTCTGGGGCTCTCCTCTTAAAAATCCCACTCTGGCCGGGTGCGGTGGCTCAAGCCTGTAATTCCAGCACTTTGGGAGGCTGAGGTGGGTGGATCATGAGGTCAGGAGATCAAGACCATCCTGGCTAACACAATGAAACCCTGTCTTTACTAAAACTACAAAAAATTAGCCGGGCGTGGTGGCGGGCGCCTGTAGTCCCAGCTATTCGGGAGGCTGAGTCAGGAGAATGGCGTGAACCTGGGAGGAAGAGCTTGCAGTGAGCCAAGATCATGCCACTGCACTCCAGCCTGGGCGACAGAGGGAGACTCCATCTCAAAAAAAAAAAAAAAAAAAAAAATTCCCGCTCCACTTCATGGAAAAGTTTCATTACAATATTGAATAAACTGTATGATCGAGAAGTGAAGTGCTTAATTCTGGGATAGTGAATGTTAATTATGCAATGCTCTGTTGCTCTGCTGTGCTGATGAGTGAGAAGAAAATTTTCTTAAAATTTACTTATCTTCCTTTCAACAGACAGTTATCATGTGGTTTGAATTACATTGATTGGCCATCATTAATGACTTCTCCACAAAGGGGGAAAAAGGAATTTGATATTGTGATCAGGTCTGAAGTAGGTGACCATGAACGCTGGTAAAATAGAGTCACATGTTTCCGGCTCAGGAACATTAGTTAACATGAGAAGTGGGATGTCATAGTGAGAACAGTTCAGTCTTTGTAGTGAGACAGACTGGGATTAAATGTGGGCCATGCCATTTGTCAACATTGAGACTCTCTGAATCTGTTTTCTCATTTTTAAATGGGAATAAAAACACCTATCTCTAGAGCTTAGCGCTTGGATTTGGCAAAATGCATAGTACGAGTTCAATAAATGAAAGCTAATATTATTTTCATGTTCAAAGTCAATGGAAAGAGTTGGCTATGAAAACCCTCACACATACCAATACCCAGATTATTTTATCATTTTATCTTTAGATATCTCATTCACAAATATAGAAATGTGGGTTTATGGGGGCCCAGGGGTGGGATGGTGAAATACTCTCTTTGAGAGAAAAAAGGATAGTTTATAAAATTTCATGAGTATGTTAGTTTTATTGCTACTGTAACAAATTATCACATATTAGCTGCTTAAAACAACAAAAATTTGTTACCTTAGAGTTCTGCAGGTCAGAAGTCTGACATGGGTGTCTGTGAGGCTGAAATCAAGATACCTGCACGTCTGTGTCTCTTTCTGAGGGATCTTTGGAAGAGTCTGTCTCTTGGTGCATTCAGGTTGTTGGCAGAATTCAGTTCCTTGTGATTGTAGAACTGAGGTCTTTATTATCTTGCTCTGGCTATCAGCTAAGGACTGTTCTCAGCTTTGAGAAGCCATCTGCATTCCTTGGCTCATGGTGGGTCTCCTTCCTCCATTTTCTTTCTTTTTTTTTTCTTTTGAGATGGAGTCTCACTCTGTTGCCCGGGCTGGAGTGCAGTGGTGCGATCTCGGCTCACTGCAAGCTCCGCTTCCCGGGTTCACGCCATTCCCCTGCCTCAGACTCCTGAGCAGCTGGGACTATAGGCGCGCACCACTACACCCAGCTAATTTTTGTATTTTTTTAGAGATGGGGTTTCACCATGTTGATCAGGCTTGTCTCAAACTCCTGACCTCGTGATCCGCACAACTTTGCCTCCCAAAGTGCTGGGATTACAAGCATGAGCCACCGCGCCTGGCCCTCTTCCTCCATTTTTAAAGCCAGCAGTAGTGGGTTGAGTTTCTCTCAAGCTGCCACTTCTCCTCCTCTTCTTCCGTTGTTGCATCTCTCTGACCCACTCTTCTGTCTTACTCTTCCACTTCTAAAAACTCATGTAGTTATATTGGATCCACCTGGACACTCTAGGGAACTCTTCCCAATTCAAGGTCCATACCTTAATTGCATCTGCCAAGTCCCTTTTGCCATGGAAGGTAACATGTTCACCCGTTTCACGGATTAGAGAACGGACATCTCTGGGGAGAGGATGAGTTATTCTGCTACCAAGTGAGAAATAGCACAGAAGTGTGTCTTCCAAATATGGAGTTGTTATGCATGATTCACAGTACATTCCAGTTTGCAAAATAAATGAGATGGTGTCAAAAATACCCACTTACCCAGACAGAGAGAAAACACATGATTGTGCATAATTTGGCTTCTGCTTACCTTGCTCATCTCTCACCATTCTATTCCTCTTTTGACCATTCTATTCCTCCTTATACTGAACTTTTTATTTCCAGAAAGTGAGTGAATATACAAACACTGGCCAGGTCATATCTGATAATAAAACTCAGACTGACAAAGGAAACCCAGGAAGCCAAACCTTAGCCTCTGCAGCAATCAGCCCAGAGTAGTCACAGTGTGGTCAACTGATACCTTCTCTATTTTCTAACCCCCTGCTCTCTGCTTCCAACTCAGGAGCAACCTGAGAAAACCAAATGTGCTCCCCAAACTAATCAGAAAGGATGCCCTGCTTCTAGTTAGCTCTCCAATAGCTTCCCAAGGCCAACAAACTTTAATCAGGGCACACCCAAGGGTTCTCTTTTTTCCACTCTAAAGCTTTTCCTCTGTCCTGACTGTATTTGAATACCTGCCAAATGCAAGTATTGGTGGCTGACTCTCTTGCTATAGCAAACTCTGAGTAAATAGTCTGTTTTTCTCATTTGAGTGGTCTTTGTTTTAACATTTCCTTTGTGTATTGTTTTTGTTTCCTCTTTTTCTCTTCCTTGATCACATTTTTCTCCTTACCTTAAGCGATTAACTTGTATTCATATTTTAAATATCAGCTTAGATGTCACTAATAACAATAATAATTACTATTTCGGTGATAGCTAACCTGTACTGAGCCCTTACCATATGCCAAGAACTGTTCTAAACATGTTTAATTTACCAGCTCATTAAACTCTCACAACAGTTAACTGAAGAAGGTTTCTCTTATTATCCACATTTCTCATACAGGAAAAGATAATTCAGAGATATTAAGGATCTTGCCCAAGGTTGCAGAGCTACTAGGTGAAAGACTTAGGACAGAATTTAGGTGGTCTGGCACCATAATTCACTCTTGAAACAATTACGCTATGTTGCTTTCAGAATATTTTCAAATACCCTGAGTTTAGGATGGATATCCCTTCTCATATGTTTAAATAGGACTCTGTAATTTATCTACTACTCTATTGTAATTGTTTATGAATTTCTCTGTAGTCTCTGCTACTAAGCTCCCTGAGGACAAGGGTGGTGTTTGTTTTGCTTATGTTTGTATGTCAAGCATATAGTAGTTTCTCTATTAATGTGTATTTAAGGAATTAACAAACAAATGATCGAATTAATGAAATACATACAAAAGTGTGAATTGTTATTTTTAAAAATTGGAGGCTCTTAAGAAAAAAGAAAGGGACCTTAGGCAGACTTTCAATGCAACACACTTCTACATATGACTTCATAATTTTTATCCAGGAAACAACTTCTTAAAACAGGGCAGCTTCTCTTGTCTAAGCTTAGGTTGCCTCCATATTTTTAAATATAAAACCACATGAAATACTAACATCAGCCTCTTCCCAGAAAGCCTCTTCCAAGCTAATCGTCATCATTAAGCTAGACTCAGTGAATTCTTGACATAAATTCTGAGCCAGGTCATGTTCAATTTAGAAACTTTCTTCTGAACTCTGCAGCAAGCCTAAAAACTCTCTCTTACATACTTGCAGTCCTGGAAAAATCAGATGAGAGCCAGAGGTGGCTATGTATCCCCATGAACTATGTTGGAGTTTTAGAGCAAACCTCCAACTGGGTGCTTTTAATGTCCTAAGCCTCTGGCTGTCTGTCCTTGTAACCCAGATTCTGGGGCAGATGCTGAGCTCTTGTTCATTCTCAGTAGGTCTCTTTTCCTAGACTTGTGAGACTAGTTGACCTGGAAAAGCATTAAGGCAGTCATCTGGATCAATTCCTTTACTTTATATTTAATACCATCGGATCCATGCATTTATTAAAGAAATATTTATTAGCCTCTAAATTTCTGGTACTATCCCAGGATTTGGAGATCCAGAGGTGAATTAAACAAGCCTTCTGCTATCATGGGGCTTATATTCTAGTGGGGCTAAGAGACAAAAATGAGCATACATACAAATGCATGAAATCATTTCAATATGTATGAAAATAACACAAAGTTAGATAACAGCGATCTGCCTAAATGTATCCATTTCAATACGTTTATCTTTCAATCATGTCACCCCATTAAACTCCTACTTCCTGATCAACTACTCTTCTTTGGAATTCTCAGTGTTTCCTCTCAGTCTTTCATTGATTATATCAAGGAAGTAGTAAAACTTGTTTTGAATAAAAGTCATTCAGAAAATTGTTTTTGATATTCTCCCTTTTAAAATTTATTGCCAATATACTACAAATAACTTTTCTTCTTAGGGCACTTTCTTTTTCCTCCTAGGAATTGATTATTACAACAAGATCATCGATGATTTGTTAAAAAATGGGGTTACTCCCATTGTGACCCTCTACCACTTTGATTTGCCTCAGACTTTAGAAGACCAAGGAGGTTGGTTGTCAGAGGCAATCATTGAATCCTTTGACAAATATGCTCAGTTTTGCTTCAGTACCTTTGGGGATCGTGTCAAGCAGTGGATCACCATAAATGAAGCTAATGTTCTTTCTGTGATGTCATATGACTTAGGTATGTTTCCTCCGGGTATCCCTCACTTTGGGACTGGAGGTTATCAGGCAGCTCATAATTTGATTAAGGCTCATGCCAGATCCTGGCACAGCTATGATTCCTTATTTCGAAAAAAGCAGAAAGGTATGGTGTCTCTATCACTTTTTGCGGTCTGGTTGGAACCAGCAGATCCCAACTCAGTGTCTGACCAGGAAGCTGCTAAAAGAGCCATCACTTTCCATCTGGATTTATTTGCTAAACCCATATTCATCGATGGTGATTATCCTGAAGTTGTCAAGTCTCAGATTGCCTCCATGAGTCAAAAGCAAGGCTATCCATCATCGAGGCTTCCAGAATTCACTGAAGAAGAGAAGAAAATGATCAAAGGCACTGCTGATTTTTTTGCTGTGCAATATTATACAACTCGCTTAATCAAGTACCAGGAGAACAAGAAAGGAGAACTAGGTATTCTCCAGGATGCGGAAATTGAATTTTTTCCAGATCCATCTTGGAAAAATGTGGATTGGATCTACGTGGTACCATGGGGAGTATGTAAACTACTGAAATATATTAAGGTAAATGCATGATTTTTTGTGTGTCCATGTACACCCAATTATGTGAAGGTGGGCAAGACAGGCATATGTATATATATATATATATATATGGACCTGAAAAAAGAATTACTTTAGGTAATAGCATATACATTTGCTGGCCTGGGAAGAGCAGATTAGGATTTGAGTTGATGAGGGGTAACTAGCCGGTAAAGGCTTCAAAAGCAGTGGTCAAAGTCTAGGATTTGTTGTTAAAGTTAGTTGTGGCTATAGAAGTAATTTGGACATATTTTTCAATCTGGTGTCACAACTATGATTATAAAAGACATTTTAAGGATTGAGATAGTTGGATCCTTTTTTTGAGTCTCAGCTATAGTGGATGACATCCAGTTAGCTAAAATTAAAATTTCAATTACAGGTTTTCAGAACCCCTCCTATGGGGGATGTAGAATGTAGCTACTGGCAGGACTGAGGGGTTAAGGAGCAGTGACAATCAACAGATGCTGATGGAAGAAAGATATTTCTGTCTTCTCATTATAATAAGAGTCATTTGACTGTCTTCATGGACATTTGCACAGTTTTGCGTTTCCATTGTTAGTTATAAAAGGTCAGTGCATGGAAAATTAAGTTAATAGGGTCAGTGCAATTTGATGAAAACTAGTTTTGGGGTTGTAGCTTACAGAAGATAGAGGGTAATGTACCTGATTTTATGAGCTTTCTTTTTTTAAAACATCTGTTTGGAATAAAACTTCTGTTCTTTTTTTTTAGGATACATATAATAACCCTGTAATTTACATCACTGAGAATGGGTTTCCCCAGAGTGACCCAGCGCCTCTTGATGACACTCAACGCTGGGAGTATTTCAGACAAACATTTCAGGAACTGTTCAAAGGTACCATTTGAAATGATGAAAGATCAATTGTGCAAACTTAATATAATTTTCCCATTTGCTTATTTGCATTCAGCAAAGACCAATAATTTTTGAAAGCTGAAATCCATGTAAATCAATGCAAAGCCATATAATTAGGAGAGGGGGAAAAAGTATTTAGGAAAGAGGAAGTGGAGGATTTTGGCCTAGCTACAACCTCCTGAAATTGAATCAAGTGAAAAGTGACTGTCTTCAGCATTTTGTGACTCCCAGGTGAAGGTGACAAGAACAGAAGGAGTGGTGGCTGTTGGGAGAGAACATCAGTTATTACAGAATAGATTAGCACTGATCAACTATAACATGCTTATTTGCATATTTTAATATCCTAACTACCAAAAAAAAATGAAATGACAGGATTTTTAAAGAACCCAAATTAAGCATCTGTGCAATAAACTTAAAAATGGCACAAGTCCTCCATCAATGTATGTTGCATTTAAGCTGTAACCAAGCAGCCCAGTTAGAAACATTTTTATTGTCGTATGGAAAATGTGAGTTGTGTTTTAAGATAATGTTATTTTAGTATCTCTTTTCCCTCCATGGAATTCTTTTCATATGAATTCTTAACATATTTGAAAACAGTCATGAAGGAATAACCTCTAACTGGTAACACACATTTCTAGGCAAGTTAGCACCTCCTCTCCTATTATTTGTTGCTTCCCAAATTTAATTCCTCTTTTTTTTTTTTTGAGACAGAGTCTTGCTCTGTCACCCAGGCTGGAGTGTAATGGCGCTATCTGGGCTCACTGCAAGCTCTGCCTCCCAGGTTCACGCCATTCTCCTGCCTCAGCCTCCTAGTAGCTGGGACTGCAGGCTCCCGCCACCACGCCTGGCTAATTTTTTGTATTTTTAGTAGAGGTGGGGTTTCACGGTTTTAGTCGGGATTGTCTTGATCTCCTGACCTTGTGATCTGCCCGCCTTGGCCTCCCAAAGTGCTGGGATTACAGACATGAGCCACTGCGCCCGGCCAATTTCTCCTTCTTAAAAAGGAATCATGTCATAGCAACAAAATCCAATGTAAAATAAGACTTTAAATTTCCTTTTTTTTTTTAAACCATGATAGCCACACTTATTTCTTATCATTCTGAGAGGTTCCGACATTATTCTTTCTAAAATTATTCAGTATTACACTGGTAATCACCAGAAGGAATTCTGGAAAGTGACACAAAGTGGTCTTTTTCCAAAACCTGAAATTTATTTACTGGATCCTTCACTCAGGCCTGGAGTTTATTGGCAGAGAGCAATTGGATTCTTGCAATTTGACCCAAGTGAAGAAATTATTTTGTATTGCACACAAAATAGATTCTTCCGGGTAGGAGTTCATCTTCTGATAAGAGAGGGAAATCTCTAGTTTTCTGAGATTCCTCTCCACTTCTCCCTGTAGATGGGTCCTGTTCATAGTTAATCTATTGATATTCCCAGGCTTTATCCTGAAGAACAAATAGGCTAGTTACTACCCGGCAGATTTATGGATGGCTACAGGGAACACAAATGACTTGCCTAAAATTGCTCTGTGTATTTTTGGGAAAAGAGAGATAAACAGAAATTGCTTTTTTTTTTTGTTTCCATTCCCAGCCTGGTACTCTGTTCAGCGCTAATCATATAGAGGCATTTCGTTGTTTTTTCAAATAGTTTCAAGTACTTTATACCATCCTTTACATCTTTAATGCTAAATGCTTAATGATCGACCCCAAACTAAGGTGATTCAAGGATAGAAAAGTAACAGAAGATAAGAGTGGAAAATAAAAAAAGATTTGGATTTCTAAGAGACGGGAGAGAATAGGGTTAGGACAAAAAATATGTTTTTCAATTTGTTGAACTTCTATTTTGTCTTCAAATTACTTGATGAGAGGTTTATTAGGCATATAAAACATATACTGTCTACAGCATCTATGTTCTCTTCTGAATCTTAACAGTAGGCTAGCTATATTCACTGTAATAGACACGTACTATTTTTGTTTTGCCTTTTAAAAAAACGACTTTTTAAATGTGTAGAAATATATATATTGAGAAGAAAAACATATGCATAAATGTATTTATTCTGGACTGGGTATAGTGGTGTGGTAACTTTTTTTTTTTTTTGAGATGGAGTCTCGCTCTGTCACCCAGGCTGGAGTGCAGTGGCATGATCTTGGCTCACTGAAAGCTCCGCCTCCCGGGTTCACGCCATTCTCCTGCCTCAGTCTCCCAAGTAGCTGGGACTATAGGTGCCCGCTACTACAACTGGCTAATTTTTTGTATTTTTAGTAGAGACCATAGCCAGGATGGTCTCGATCTCCTGACCTCATGATCTGCCCGCCTTGGCCTCCCGAAGTGCTGGGATTACAGGCATGAGCCACCGCGCCCCACTGTGGTGTGGTAACTTTTTTATGTATTCTCGTAGTGGACACCAATTATTTCTGCTGTGGTGCAACTCTCTTTCCCCTTTCTTCTATAAAATACTCACCTCCCCATGTACATGCTTACCACAGGGACATCCATGCAAGTGGAATACAATCCTCCTCCTTCAGCAGATAACTGACTGGTCCAAACGTAGGCACAGGACGTGAGCTGGGGCAATTTCAGTTCTTCCCTGGTACTTAGAACGTGGACCAATTAGTTTCTTAATCTCTTGGACTGGGTTGGGTGGATGTAGCTTTGTGAGCCACTGGTGACTCGGTTCTACCCTGTAAGCTTAGGCACAGTGAGAAGGGAAGATATCTATGCATTAAAGGAAGGTAAACATGGAGAACTTCCAGACAGCACTGGAGCCTCTGCTTTTCATTTTTCCTGAGATCTGTCTGCATGCAAGTTCTTGAGAGACATTACTTTCATCATAATAAAGTGCTCTTTGTGCTTAATCTTATTCTAATTGGGCTTCTATCTCTTGAATAAAAAGAGTTGTAATTGATACCATCATCTCGTTTCCTTCTCAAAACAATGATATGAAGTCATTACTCCTACTTTATAGATGAGGAAACTGAGTTTCAAAGAGGCTATATTATTTGCTAAAGAAAATAAAGGCACTAAGTAGTATTTCCTGGAACAAGGCTGAATGCATGTATATTATTATTATTATTATTAACTATTTGGTGTGAGATATAATCTGTGAGTTCAGGGCTCTCTGAGTTAAAGTGTTTATTTGTCCCACCACACAGAAACTTTTCCTTATGTTTGGTTACTTTGGGTTTGCATGTATTCTTTCAAAGTGCTTCATGCTGTCTTTGAAGAAGAGCCGACAGGTTCTGTGACCTTGAGCAAAGCTCAGACGCCCTATATCCTAGTTCTCATCAAAAGAGCAGAGCTGAACTTGCTAATCAATTTTCTGAGACTCCTCCGAGGTAATGCTGATGATCTTGGTTGCCAAGAACTTTAATAGTAAGAAGCACCCTGTGAGCAATTAAAAATAATAACAGGCCAAGGAAGATATTCCTGGGAAGCGCTGCAGGTGAGAAGTGACCAAAACCTAGGGAGTCAGATGGATGATGGCTCTGTGATTCTCACGAACAAAGCCTTTCCTCTGACATCACACATATGGAGAGGCACATAATGACACTATAGATGGATCAATGGGTCCGCTTGGAGGTCTTACTGATCTCTTCAGGTAGATTCCCACAGCAATTAATCGAGCATTAAAAGGTATGCTAATGTTTCTGTTTCCTTTTGGAATATGAGAAAAAAAAAAGAGAAAAAATATCATTTTAGAATAAAAGGAGAGAAATCAGCTAGTGCCTTTTAAATTTTGCATTGTTTAATTGTATTAAACACCTTTTAATAGGTTATATTTTAAGTAATGTAGAGGCAGGTGAGAGTAAAGGATACCAAAAAGTTGAAATAACATATAACTAGATTTGCATTCCAGATCTGCAAATTATTCAATAAGGGACCTTTAGCAAATTGCTCAACCTGTCTAATCCTCAGTTTGTTTATCTATAAAAATGGGGTTAATTTTTTTTTCTGGCGGGGTTGTTATAGTGAGATTCCATTTCATGAGCTAATGTGTAAAATTCCCTTAGCAACTACCTGACCCATAGTAGCTCCTTAACCAATGGTAACAATTATTATTATTACAAAATGTGCACTCTTAAAAACGTATCTATTATCTCCAAGTTATTCTCCTTGTTATTAAAAAAATGCCATTCCAAGACTTGTTATTTTTCTATCCCCCCCCCACAAATTATAGCAGACTATTTCCCCATATTTCTGTGTTTCTCTTCCTTTTTGAGGAACTTCTGGATGTGTGTTATAACATTGGTCCTCTGGCTTTTTCTAGTGTGAATTGCACTGAGGAGAAAGCAGCACCTCCATTCATTATTTCCCTGTGGGAGGTGACCAGATTAGGTGAAAAGTCAAATCATTGACAGTGGAAACTGCTATCAAGTAACTGGGAATTGTTCTGCCACTTGAATCTTTGTATATGTTTGGGATTCAATGACATTCAAATAGTTAAAATTTTCTTGTATCATAGGAATTTTTATTATATTCATAACATTTATGCCACTCCTCAATACTTAAGAGCCAATGGGCAATTTTGGCTTCATATGTAGATGCACACAAATGGATACCTCTCCAGTCTAAGTGCTTTCATGGAGATGAGGAAGAATGGGGAGCCAGGGGCCATTGCTCCGATGGCTGATACTGCCCCCATCACCTAAATTATCTTGAAAGGGGATCCGAGCGGTGCTCAACCTGTTTCTCATACCTACCCAGCACATGTGTGCTTTTAGCCTGGCTTATGATCCTTCCTCCACCTGGAATGCCATGCTCTTTGCTTTCTTCCTGGCCCACTTTTGTTTGAAGTAGATGGGCTTGCTTGAAGTCAGAGAAAACATAGGTTTGAGACCCTGGTTCTGCCCATAATGAGCCCAAAACTTTAGGGAAAATTCTGAAACAGGCAACCACCTCAGTCATCTAATCTCTAAAATGGGGATAATAAGAACATTGATCTTCTAAAGAGTGGTGAAAAATGAGCAAAATAATGCTTATGATGCCTAAAAAAAGTCTGGCACATTTCCTAAGGATTCTGTAAATGATTGACTAATTTTTTTGGGGGGTGGAGGTGCTGTGAATTCTCTGAGGGCTAGAGCTTTGTCTTTTTTTTATAATTATATCTTCAGCTCTAAGCACCATGACTGTTACATAGTAGTGTTATACACATATTTGTTGAATTTGGTTCTATCATGGAAAGGCTAGATAATGAATAATGAGAAATAAATGACTAAATGGTTGGGAGGCATATTTTCTTTCCCTGAAGAAATATACCCCCCCACACACACACAAAAAATGCAGCCTTCTGAAAAGTTTCTGAGCCAGTCCAACTTTCCAGGCAGATCCATGCCTGAGTTAGCACAGCGGTAGATGATTGCAGAGAAGGTTTGTTAATGACCAGCTTTCAGCTTTTAATGACAAAACCCCTCAGCAAGATGTCATCGAAGTTATTGAAGACTTCACTGAAAGTGTTGAAGCTGATACATTGTAACAAGAAGGTTATAAATCTTGCAGCTTGGATATACCACCAAGACAAGATGCTGAGCACAGAATCACCCTGCTGTTGTCTGTCAGCATTCTCCCTCCCTCTACGTCTTTCCCTTCCCACGGAGAGCAGGTAAAGGAGAAATACATCTATTTCCCAAAGTAGTGCAGACCTGGCAGCCACCTGCCTATGCCAATTTCAGATCACAGAGGTCCATTTAACTGGACAAAATGTGTTAAGCGCCTGTGTTTTTCTAAATGTGCATTAGAAAAAAATCCTAAGCATTAGGGAAAGATTTCAAAGGTTAATACGGTGACCTTTTAGAAACACCAGCCAATTAAAAATCTATTGCAAGCTCAGAATAGAGACCCAAATACCTGAATATAGATTCTCACTGTGTATCTATTGTTTTATTGCTTCTCAGAGGACATCTTTGTCACCTTGGCCCCTAGGAAGCAGTTCATGTCATAACTCCTGTTAAATATAACTGTATGGCTTTGGGGCCACGTGGGGTGGGATTTGGATTGACTCAATACTGCTAACCAGGCTGCTCCTGGCTGCACTGGATGGCTGCTAGCCACAAGGGGCCAGGTCAGAACACAGAGGAAGAATGAGGTTGAAGGCTGGGCATGAGAATGGCTAGTGGGTGCTAGTATATAGAGTGTGCAATTTTTGTTTTTTAATTTTTTAATTGACAAAAATTGTATCTTTATTGTGTACAACATGTTATGAAACATGTATACAATCTAAAATGCCTTAAACACATGCATTACCTGACATATTAGCATTTTTTTTTGTGGTGGGAATGCTTACCATCTACTCTTTTGGTAATTTAAAAGAATATAACAGATTGTTATTAATTATAGTCACCATGTTGTACAATAAATCTCTTGAATTTTTGGCTCCTATCCAACTGAAATGTTGTCTCTTTTGAAACAGCATCTCCTGAGTTCCCCAGCCCCATAAACGAGATCATTTATGTCTACATATGCTCTGAATGCCTTAAAATGTTAGATGTTATTCTCACCATCTACTCTCTGCCTCTTTGAGATCCACTTTTTTAGATTCCGCATATAAGTGAGAGCATGTGGTATTTGTCTTTCTGTGCCTGGTTTCTTTCACTTAACATAATGTCCTATAGGTTCATCTGTATTGTTGCAAATGACAGGATTTTATTCTTTCTAAGGTCCAATTGTAGGACCATGCTGTTTTGGTTACTGTAGCCTTGTAGCATAGTTTAAAGTTGGGTAATGTGATTTCTCCAGCTTCACTCTTTTTGCTTAAGATTGCTTTGGCTACTCGGGCTCTTTTTTGATTACATATGAATTTTAGAATAATATTTTTCTAAATCTGTGAAAAATGACACTGTATTCCCCATTTTCTTTATCCATTCATCCACTGTGGACACGTAGGTTGATCCCACATCCTGGCTATTGTGAATAATGGTGCAGTGAACACGGGAATGCAGATATCTCTTTGACATACTGATTTCATTTCCTTTGGATACATGGTAGTTTTATTTGTGGAATTTGAAAAGTCATGAAGAAAATAATTTCTTATGTTTGTGTCCCACTAGTCTACATATGTAGACCACACTTAGACTCAGCCAGGGTTTACAGAGTTAACCTTAAAAAGGGATATGCCAGATGCCCTTCTCATTTATTTCCCCCTGCTACTTCCACTCATGACGTACTTGTCATTTGCCCTTCCTTCCCACTGGGAAGCATGGAAGAGTAGAATGCATCGAAGTAGAAAGTCTGCAGGCTTTGGAGAGGAAAGATGAACAGAGTTCTGTGCTCTAGTGGTGTGTCTTTGGGTAAGTCATCATTGGTACTCTCTAAATGTCAATTTCCTTATCTGTAAAATGGGACTAATGCTAACTGCTGTTCTGCCTAATCCAAGGTCAGTTGTGAAAATAAAATGAGATCATTTATATCTACATATGCTCTGAACACCTTAGACTGTTAGATGTTATTCTCATATTTGATATACGTACTTTATGCTTCTGTTTAAGGACATTCATCACTCTGGTCAAAATACATTATCTGGACCTCAACATTCTCCACTGCCAAGGAAAGGGGTTGGTGCTCATTATTTGGGTCTTTTCAAAGTCTAGATTCTCAGATTTTATCAATTTATTTTCCTGCACATTTCTATACTGCTGTGTAACATTGTGACCAATTTAAGGGTTTTTAGAGAACATGTACTATGACCAAGTGATTAATATAGTGCTTAATAAAGCCAGAATAACACACATACACAAACACATTCACACATACACAGAAATATGTATACATATATGCATATACTCTGTATGTCTCTATCTGGCTACCTATCTATGTAAGTTTATGTAAGTTTTTTGATGAGCTACTTTACCACACTTGTCTGGTGAGGCATATATTGATGTGGTCAGAAACCTAAACCATTTATGAGGCACATTCTCTTAGAAACATAGAACCTGGCATACCTGCTTCACAAGAACAGGTTTCATGGAGTTGCCCATGTGAGAAGCAGCTTGATCACACATCAGAGAATCTTTCCTTGTGCGTTTTAACTGGAAACCATTATCTTCTCTGTCTGTAGTATTCCAATATCTATGCTGTGCCCCAACTGATGGACATCACTTTGGGCTTTTTAACTCAGTTTCCACTACTCTGAAGTGATACTTAAGGTCTCCCACCATCTCAGGTCCAGTGAATTTTAAGGATACAATAAAGCCTTTAAAAAAATCAGATGATTTCAAACTAACCTTTCTTTTTTTCTTTTTCTTTTTCTTTTTTTTTTTTTTTTTTTTGAGACGGAGTCTCGCTTTGTTGCCCAGGCTGGAGTGCAGTGGCGCGATCTCGGCTCACTGCAAGCTCTGCTTCCCAGGTTCATGCCATTCTCCTGCCTCAGCCTCCTGAGTAGCTGGGACTACAGGCGCCCACCACCATGCCCAGCTAATTTTTTTTTTGTATTTTTTTAGTAGAGACAGAATTTCACCATGTTAGCCAGGATGGTCTCAATCTCCTGACCTCATGATCTGCCCACCTTGGCCTCCCAAAGTGCTGGGATTACAGGCGTGAGCCACCGTGCCTGGCCGTAACCTTTCTTTTTTTCATGAAAATGTATAGTGTAACAGTAAGCAGAAGCTCAGTTTTTATTTTCCACAACTGTGAAGACCAATGAGGAAAAGAATTGTTATTTATCTGAAAAAAGTTAGCCTTTCCAATATGAAGAGTTGGCTGAATGGAAACTAGAAAAAGGGGAAGGGGGAGAAAAGAAAAAATTCAATAATGATTTTTTATTATTTATTGATTTATCTATTTTTTTCTATTCCCTAGATAGCTTCAGGGAGGATTCAGTAATGATTTTTAAAAACTGTTCCAAGAGAGAGCCATGTTGGAATATTTTAGTGATTAGGGGGCTACTGGAATTGAAGCAAGGTGAGTATCTCAGGTTTCCCCCAGAGTGTAGATGAGGTGGTCCTCAAGCATCTGTCTACATTAGCTCTTATTCCCTGATCTCCAGAATAACCTGGTTACTATCTGCCTCTTAGTCATCTTGGGAGCGAAAAATCACTGCCTTTGAATGAAGCCAGTAGAGTTCCACTTTAGTGTGATTCACAGGCGTTGCCTGGATGACTGTGTTAAGGATTCTGTTGGATAGCTATGGGCTCATGGAAAGAATCAAAGGAAGTAGATGGTCAAATGCTATCTATTTCTGCTCATGAAACTTAACATGAGTTTTCCCATGCTTGGAAAGAGATATTCCTCATTGTAAATTAATACGTTGACATTAGGTTTTGTAAATAAAAATCTTGTTCATTAGTAGGGATTAGCTCTCGGTGCAGTGAAAAAAAAATGAAATGGTGGATTTGCAGTGCGACCTTAGGCGGTGCTGATCTCACCGGTTCTATAACCTTCCTCTCTGTAGTCTTCTCATCTTACCTTTTTATAGCTTCAATGTTGCTTATATTGGTCAGTTGCTCTACAGTGATATAAATGTTGTTTCTGCCAACTTTCACAGACTCCTAATTCTGTGAATTACTGGTTCACTACCTCCTATCTTATTTTTTTCAATAATGAGCCTGATACTATGTAGACAAAAATCAGCAATATTATGATTGAAAACATTAAAAATTGATGCCATGACCACTGCAGAGGCTTCTAACTACAGCATTGTAGCAAATACTTGTTGAATAAGACAATTGAATATATGGAACTTGAGAGATACTTTGATTCTTGAAGATGATATCCATGATAATCTTTGGGAAAAAAAAAAGAGCATTTTCAGGAGAAAATGAAAGTTATTAAAAGGTAAAAGAACTCATAGGCAGAAGAAGTGTACCTAAAGATTTTATTCACCATTTTTAAAGACAAAATTCTCACCAGAAAAAATTTTGGAGTTTTGAGCTATATACTCAGCATTCCGTAAGTGCTCAGTAAATGTTTAATAACTGAAAGGAGATTGAGCCTAGATTAGCAGAAAAACTGAATTACTTACTTCTGGGAATTTCAATGAAATATTAGACTTATGCCACCATTGTGCTTTTTTGATTTCTAAAGAAGTGGCAGATTATTTATTCTATTATAAACAATTTGTATGTATTAGAATATGCATGAACACTAATTATATCCTTTTGATATTAAACTTCTGTTTGGGACAACAACAATTTAAATATATGCTAGAGTTTTAAAGCTCTCATGTATAAATTCTCTTAAGCGCTCCATGCTTCAGTTTCTTTAATTGAAAATAAAAGGGCTGAACTAGCTGATCTTTTGGGATACTGCCAGCCTAAGAATTTTGTGACCTTCTAGATAGTCGTTCTGCAGAAGTATGTCACGGATCACATTTTATTAGAACTCTTGATAATTTCGTAGGCTATAAAATTTAGTCCAAGGAATTATAATTAATGGTCTTTTTTTATACAAAAAAAAAAGCCTCTCTTCATTCTTCTTATCCAGCTACCTAATTTGAAATTTAACACCTTTCTTATATGGACATAAAATTAGACCTTGCTTTTCAATGCGCTGTTTCTATTGATATTGATTGAGGTTCCAGGTAACATTTTCTTGACCTTCAATCTGAGTGTTTCCTCTTCTATTCATTCACATTGAAAATGAACCTCACCTTTCTTTGCTTGAGAAAGTTTTCCCTTGGAATTCATAGAGTCAGAAGGGCACTTCAGACTCAAGTTTAACAAAGTTACTGTAGAGAGCATAAAATCTCAGAGAGGAAACTGGATGTGCCAACTCATTTCAAAGCATTAGTGTAAAATCCCCAGCTGAAGAACTTCACAGCAGCTACAATCACCAGCAGTAAAATCACCTTTCAAAACACAATTATGGCAAGAGGCATCTAATCTATTAAATTTTAAGATAGTTAAGTATGAGTTTTTGAACTTTGCCATAAATGCATAATTTAATTCAATTAGATAGCGTAGTAATTTTAACTTTACGTATATTTAACTTGAACACTAAACCTTTGTTTCTGGGTAAGATCCTGAATTAGAAGGAGGGATTATATTGCGGCGTTTTCAGAATTACAGTCTCATCATAAGTCTGTGCAGAGACTTCATATAGGCAAGTCTGTTTTTCTATTCTGACTTCTGAGCGTAGAGCTTATTCCAATCAGTACTGCTTTTACCTCAAGTTACTGTTTAGGTAGCATTTTCTTCAATACAATGAAAATATCACTCTGGTGCTAGAGATGAAAATAGTTTCTTTTAGAAAGTAATTCTTAAAGTTTATCTGAAAAGGCTATGTGCAGAGATGGGGGAGGGAGGCCCGTCTCATTCAGTAGGGTCATCTCATCAACAGCAAAGTCTCCTGTGTGTTGAGATTAGCTAATGAAACAGTATCATGGCCTGAGATTAGTTTGTGTTATCCTAAAGCTCGGCCACATTTCCCCCCTTGTTTGTGAAAGTCTGTTATAGGAATCACTGTCTGCTTTAAAAATAAGTGAAACTATTGTGGATGGAGGAAGAAAAGGCATTTGAACCCTGAAGAATTTTAATTGGTGCTGGTGAGTGAAGGTGAACAAGAAGCCATCGATGATTCAGGTGAAAACATTAATGAGTGCGGACTAAACAGATAATAGGAGTAGGGTAGGAGGAAGAATGTTTGACATTTGCTGATGAAATAACCTTTTTTACTCTCCTGGCAACAAGTGGAATTCATTTCTTTGATATTTAGACACAGCTCAAAGTCTTAAATAATTTTAAACGACCATATTCTTTTATGAGTCAGAGTCAAGTCAAATATGTTTTGTAGTTGAAAATCAGAATAATAAAAAATTAGATCAGCACATAAAATATGAGTAAATGAGTCTATTGTAAGGTATACATTTATTAGTAGATCATTTTTATGTGGTTGAGGCTCTGTGGGTTTAGTCCCTTAAAACATTTTTTTTCCCCAAAGATGTTCAGGATATGTTCTTGATACTTTGAATGAGCAGTTGGCCTTAAAAAACAAAAAAAAGGAAGCTTCAAAAATATTTCATGGCCAAAGTTTGCTGCCCTCATGAATAGATGGTAACAATGACAAGAATAGTTCAGAAAAATCTTTTAGCACTCCTAGAAAAACAAATAGCCTGACCCATTGATTGTGTACAAATTTTGTACAGACAGGCAGATAACTTTATGAATACTCTTATGCCACAAGGATTTGCTTGTTTGACATACTGAAAGAGCATATTCTTTGATTGATTGATTGATTGACTTAGATAGATTCAGGGGGGTACATGTGCAGGATGTACATAGATATATTGTATAATGGCGAGGTTTAGGCTTCTTGTATACCTGTCAACCAAATAGTGAACATTATACCCAATAGGTAATTTTCAACCCTCATCCATCCTCCAACTCTCCCCACTTTTGGAATGTCTAGTGTCTATTTAATTTCCTTCTTTGTGTCCATGTGTACCATTGTTTAGCTTCCACTTATAAGTAAAAGCATACAGCATTTAATTTTCTGTTTCTGAGTGATTTCTCTTAGGATAATGACCTCCAGCTTCATCTATGTTGCTGCAAAAGACATGATTTCAGAAAGAGTATATTCTTTAAAGACAGATCCATTTTCAGAATCTGGTTCTGATACTCTTTCAGCTTGTGAGCCTTGGGCAAGTTATGAATATCAGTTCATCATCTCTGAAAACTTATTTTTGGTGCAGATTAATGGCATACTTCATATCCTAGAGAAATGCCTACCACATAAATCCTCCAAATGATAACTATTGCAGTGAATTATTTATTACCAGCATCTAGTAACCAGGATTTTGGAAAAACTGCGACTTCCTGCATAGTCATCAAGCATTGATAATTTATGCTTCTCTTGATGACCCCAGAATGCATTCTGAATAATTAGAGAAAGATTAAATTATAATCAGTTTAGTTTCAGTGTTAAGTGTATTTTAATTTATTCTCATTCTTTAAAAATTTGTAATCTTTTTGCATGTGGCAACAATTAACAAAAAACATTTGATTAGCTGGGGCACCACATTCCCTGACTATCAAGCTAATAAAGAGTTTATTGCAGGTTGTTGAAACTCAAACTTTTCCCTGTGCATAAACTGGGCATTTGCTGGATGGAGTCTCTTCATGCCAGTCTTCTATCCTTTCTCAGAGCCAGTGTGTTGACTGTTGGATATCTTAGATTTAATCTTTATATATCCTTGAACAACACTCTTGGAACCTATACCAGACACTTCTTGTGTATTATTTTGACGCAGGGTCCTAGTCCTGGTCATCACTTCTGATTTGGTGCAGATGAGGACCTAAGTCTTCTATTTCTGAGGTTGTCTGTTCTTTTCCTATGTATTTCTAGAGATGAACATCTCAGCTGACTTTAGTAACCAATCTATCTTGGTGTTTGATCAACCTCTGCTCTTACCCAATCATGTTTTGGACTTGTTCTCACTAGGCTTTTTAGGCTATATAACCTTCCTGATGAAAACTTCACTATGCATTTTATCATTTTTGTGGTTCTTTGAACTTTCCAGTTTTTTTTCCATTTGTCTTTTTTCCCCCAACACACCAATGTCATATGTTGCTGTAAAAAGTGCCTTAACACCTGATTTGTGTTAAAAGGCATCTCTTCAAAAATTCATTCATATTATTGTTCTTTTGTGATCTTGATTATGGTACATTTTCAGGCAAGCAGATTGATTTTTGTCATTTGATCGATCAACATAGGACATAGGATTCATCAGTTCCTTTTCGTCTCCCTTATTCTGCCTTCCTTTACATATCTGCCCTACCCCAAAGCCTCTCTTTGCAACCTGACACTCTCCTTTTTCATAGTGTCCTTCACATCCCAGCTGACATCCCCAATACTTACTCAGTGAATGAAGTAAGGCAGAGACTGCTTGTTTCCCTTAAAGGGAGAGTGAGGCCAAGGGGAAAAACAGCTGATAAAGAAATAATTTTTCACTGTAAGCCCAGGCAACTCTTGGGCCTGGTGTAAGGGGAAGATTGATTAGGATTCTCTTGTTAAAATGTAGAAGCCTTCTTTGGTCATGTGTGGGTGGGTGTCCGGTGAGAATCGGAAGCCTGGGTGTCTAGCCAGGAAGCAACAATTAGCATTCTACTCTAATTCTGTGATTTCTCTGATATGGAGCTCACTGGGTAGCTGCATTTCAGTTGGTCAGTCAGGTTGCCTGTTACTGCTACTGTGCGTAATTTCTCCCCAAAGTGATATTTTTCATTATATAGACAAACATTAAAAGTCAGCAACTCAGTAGTAAAGCAGTCACTGTTCCTCTAGCTGTGGCACACCTCTATTTAGCTACTGCAAATACGTTTAATATTTGGCAAACCATATGTATATTATTGGGCTATTTTGAATTTTCTGGGAACTATGATTTTGAGCTTTGCTGTGTTTGAATGATCAATTGCAATGCTTTGTTGAATAGACTTCTTTACAAAATGTTACATTTTCATAAATATAGCATAAGATCACCTGGTAAACAAATGAATTTGTGTTAATAGAAAGTGTGAAAATTTCAGAACATTCACAGAATTGAAGTTAAAGTAGCTACACTATCTTTATGTATAGATAGATTGTTGGTCACAGGAATGACATATTAGGCTGGGTGTGGTGTCTCGTGCCTTTAATCCCAGCACTTTGGGAGGCTGAGGCGGCAGGGGTGGGGGGACGGGGGGAACGCTTGAGGGCAGGAGTTTGAGACCAGCCTAGCCAACATGGTGAAACCCTGTCTCTACTAAAAATACAAAAAAATTTCCCGGGCGTAGTGGTATGCACCGGTAATCCCAGCTGATTTGAAGGTTGAGGCATGAGAATTGCTTAAACCTGGGAGACAGAGGTTGCAGTGAGCCAAGATCACACCACTCCACTCCAGCCCAGACAACAGAGTGAGACTCTGTCTCAAAAAAAAAAAAAAGGAAAAAATTGCCATATTAATACATGTGTTGCAAAGAAGGAGACAACAGTCACTGGGGTCTGCTTGAGAAGAGAGTGGGGGAAGGAGGGAGAGGAGCAGAAAAGATAACTATTGGGTACTGTGCTTAATACCTGGGTGATGTTATGTGTACAGCAAACCTCCGTGACACGTGTTTATCTGTGTAACAAACCTTCAGATGTACCCCCAAACCTGAAATAAAAATTTAAAAAAGAAGAAAATCATTTCCATGGGATTCCAAATAAACTAGCTCATGGAGTATGGAAAAAAAAATGTGTGTTGGATGGTAGTTGAAGGCCATTTATATATCATATTCTTTAAATTTTGACATTTCGAATGCTGGATTCTCATGAATTTGGGTAACGACATTCACTCTAAATAATTTAGTGCTCTCTTTTATTTTAAGGGATATTTTATTTTATTAAGAAAATGTTCTTCCTGTATTTCTATCTTAAAAATATTTTTTGGTTAACACAAACACAGTAGTTTCCCTTTAACCATGGTTTCACTTCCTGTGGTTTCAGTTACCTGAGGTCAACCGCTATGCAAAAATAATCAGTGGAAAATTCCAGAAATAAGCAATTCATAAGTTTTAAATTGTTCACCATTTTGAGTAGCTTGATGAAATCTCACAAAGTCCCCCTCCCTCCTCCTGGGACATGAATCCTCCTTCTATCCAGCATATCCCTGTTGTCAACACTACCTGCCCGTGAATCAGTTAGGAGTCACCTGGGTTATCAGATCTGCTGTTGCAGTATCACAGCGCTTGTGTTGGGTTGATACCCTTTTTTTTACTTAATAATGGCCCCAAAGTGCAAGTGTGTGATTCCGGCAATTTGGATATTCCAAAGAAAAGCATAAAGTCCTTCCTTTAAGGGAAAAGTGAAAGTTCTCAAATTAGTAAGGAAAGAAAAAAAATTGTATGCTGACATTGCTCAGATCTATGGTAAGAATGAATCTTCTATCTGTGAAATTGTGAAGAAGGAAAAAGAAATTCATTTATAGTGTATATATGTTTTGGTACTATCCGTGGTTTTAGGCATTCACTGGGGGTCTTGGAACGTATCCCCTGTGGCTAAGGGGAACTACTGTACTGGAAAACCTTTGTGATTTGTAATAATTATAGAGATGACAATTCAGAAATGTCAGTTAAATTGTTGAGAGGTATTAATTTTTGTCAATTATTGAAGATGGACCATTTTATTACATTGAGGTTCTTGATAAAAAGAAATACCAGCTCATAAATCAGTGGTAGGGAGGGAGTGGGAGGATGTAAATATCCTACCCGTAGTTGTTGACATAAAGCTTGAACACTGGCTTGTAGCTTCCTGGCATTCAGATCAAAACGAATTCACCATTGGTTTTCAAACTGTGCTTTCTGGAGCTTTCTGATCTATGAAGATATCTTTGGGGACTCAGTTAGATGCACAGAGGGTGGGAGGAAAAGCAGAGCTCCAGGGCACCTCTGCTTTTATTGGTTGTGTATATTAGGAATCCATAAAAATTTTCATTTGAAAGGAAGACTCTGGTGCTAAAAAAAAAAAAAAAAGAAACATTGGAAAACCACTGAATAATAGGGATCTCATTATCAGAGGGGCAGAAACATGGTAGCTCCTTTGGGGAAATAAAGCACAACTTTCTTTCTCTTTCACTTGAAAAAATGAGTTATTTCAAACATACAGAAAAATACAGGTACCCATACAACTGTGACCCAGATTTAACACATGCTAATATTCTGTCATACACATTATACATGAAAAAGGAAATTAAATATTATTGGCCCAGGGTAAGTCCCTTTATATCTTTCCTGTATCTCCTTTCTGTCTTCCTTCACTTGGGTTAACTCTGATCTTGAAGTGTGTGCACTACACATTTTGCTACAAATTTATACATCCATGGCCTATCTGTATAATGCTTTCTGCATTTTACTATTTACATAAATGGTGTCACACTATACACATATATATTTTCAACATTATGTTCTTTGAGATTTATCCATGTTGATCCTTTTAGCTCTAATTCATTCTTTTTAGTGGATCTATAGTATTCTGATGTGTGAAGAGACCACATTTATTTATCTCTTCTTCTGCTGATGGATGTATGAGGGTCTTTCCTTTTTTTTCATTTTTATAAACAATGCTGCACTGAATATCCTTGAGTGGCTCATAGGCTGAAAATGCATTTCTTACATGGGAGTTTATGAGGCAGCCCTGCTGCTAGTCCACATGATATCTTTGTACCATTAGAATGAAGTTTCCCTTCCTCAAAAATGTTACATTTTTAAGAAAATGGTTGCAAAGGCTATACAAATTTACAATGACTTTATATCAACAGTGTTCTTTAAAGTTTTGACATTTAAAAAAAAGCAATAGTTCTATATGTAGGGGATGCTACCATAGAAACCTGTAGGGTGTAAAGAGGTTGGGCGAACTAATGTGTTTAACAGGTTAGAAGCTAATCTAAATAAAAGTCTGTGGTTAGCCTATATAAGAGGTTTTTCTAGCTAAATGCAGGGGCTGGGGAAATTGTTTTCTTCAGAAACGGTGTGTTGCAAGTAAAGAACACAAGGAAAGTGTGTAAGGCTTTTGATTTTTCCCAGGTTACAAGGCCAGTGGCTGGCCCAAGTGATGTTGTAAGGGAGACCTTATCCATCAGTTTTCCCCTTTCCAGAATACAGCCCTCAAGACTGTCTATGTAGACATGTATACAGTGCGGGCTTCTACCAGGCTCCATCTGCTAACACAACAGTGTGCTAAGAATGAAGAGAAGTTGCCTAGGGAAGACAAATAAGCCCTTGCTCTGGGAAGGAAAGTTTGAATTGTATCCAGAGGAAGTAGTGAGCCTCCCAGAAGACTGACGCTGTAAGTCCCAATACACTGAAATAAGTTCATGTTCATCCAAGTTCCATTGGTCCTCACTAGATGGCTTTGCCTGGGGAGGGAAACAACTCCACAGCAGGCAATGCAATGTCTTCTCTATTCTTTATGAAAGTTAATAGGGGAAAAATTCTTTCCTGCTTTGGAAACTTACTTTAGAAATTAAATTTGGAAGTACTCAAGAGTAGAAGCCTGGTGGAAATTGTTGGATATTCTTCATGGAAGCAATTATATATGTTGTGGTCATTAAAAATTTGCCTAAATTAAGATGTGGTAACATCACTCTCTGTTTATATCTGTAATACTATTTTCCGTCCTGGGAATCATTGGGCATTAACATTAATATTCACAATCTAAATTATACCCAGAAGACAGGATCTACGATGATTGTGTGTATGGAGAAGCCTGTTAACTTCTGTTAATTCTTTTAAGAACTATCAGGTAGAAGACTAAAAAAATTCATTTTATGTTGTGTCGAGGGCAGAACTCATGCCAGTAGGGGACCATTACATGAAGACAGGTTTTAGTTCAACATTAAGACAGAACTTTCCAACAATTAGAGTGGCTGAGTAAGAGAATGAGTGTCCTCAGGAGATCATTAGAGGCCTGTCAATAGATGGCAGAAAAGCAGATGCCAGATTCCCATCTGCCAAAGATGCTGTTGGGAGGATGTCTGCTCCATGTGGGAGGGTCATTCCACAAGTGCGTACAATCACCTGCTATTTATTAAGTACCTACCGTGCACTTGCTGTCGTCGGGGATAGGGACTGTTGTAGGCACAGCTGTTGTCTGGATGTGATCATCTTCCAGTCCTAAATTCTGTGAATCCCAGGGAGTTTTAGCCAGGGCCCTGATGAAATTTTCACAAATTCCACATTAGAGTGGTCTGAAGTAATGAGGTCTCACAATGCGGCTAGCCTAGTGGTAATGCTTAACCTTACTCCCAGCAGGAAGGATATGGCGCAGAACACCACTTCTTAGCTAAGACCTGCTTTTGTCCCTGGATTTCAGCTTTGGCTTGGCTTTTGTGACATGAAAGATCTCAGTATATTAAAGTTAGTTTCTTTTCTCTGGTTCACTTCCTTCTGGTCTTGAAAATTAATATAACTTCTGAGCTCCAGATGATGTGTGTCAGCTTTATTTAGTCAAACTCTGTCAAGATAAATATTTTTGCATTGGAATTGAATCTCTGTAACTTCCATTCATGACAAAAGCATGAATTACAAAGTGGAGACTTTATGGAATTATAACTAAATACACTTAATTCTTTAAAGTCAAGTCTGCCTCAATCACAGTGTTTGACTTGGAAACCTCCTTTAGTCCAGTAGAGAATATAAATAAATAAATGTATGGAACAGTTTTGAGATTAGATCTGGATATTATATTATGAAGGTAACATTTTGGTCTGAATTCTCTGGCTTATGCTGAAGACACGACCTTGGCTGCCTCATGGATATGGCCTGTCTTTCACACACTTTAGAGACAAGTGTGTTAGAGTCCCATTAATGCACATAATGGCTCCTGCAGCTCACTGATGCACATGCTATCACAGTGACCTGAAGAGTTAAGGTGCGTACTCCTTAGGCTACTTCACATAACATTGAAGCCACTTTGACCCAGAGTAGACTAAAACCCCATATATTCAATATTTGCTTTCATTAATATATTCATAAATATACAAAATCCTTGAGTGGTCTTTTAAACTGTTCCTTTGTTATATAGTCTGGGGCCCTAGCTATTTCTTCTATTGGCTGAAGTTTCTTTGTGTGTGTCAGCTTTTCATTTATGGACCCTGAAATTAATCCGGTTTAAAATTATGCTCTTCAAATATAGTTCAAATAATTCTGTTTTGAGGAAGAAATGTAGTACAGAGGGAGTCTTTCATGAAAACAACTTTCCCAAGCCATTGCTCTGGAGTTGCTAAGGGTGATCAGCCAGCAAAGCCCAAAGTGTTCATTTAGTATGACATGCAAGTATTTTAAAAAGATCTTAGCTGGAAAAGCAATATAATTGGCAAATTAAAAATATTAAAATGAAAGTTTGCACCTTCTGACTAGGGAGAAAACAGTGCCCTTACATTGTTCCTTTTTTTGTTGTGTTTTCTGCTCTGTGCACAGTAAAGATTTGTGGCACTGCATCTTTTAAAAAAAATTTATTTTACTTTAAGTTCTGGGATACATGGGCAGAATGTGCAGGTTTCTTACATAGGGTATACATGTGCCATGGTGGTTTGCTGCACCCATCAACCCATCATCTAGGTTTTAAGCCCTATATGCATTAGGTGTTTGTCCTAATGCTGTCCCTCCCCTTGTCCTCACCCTCCGACAGGCCCTGGTGTCTGATGTTCCCCTCCCTGTGCCCATGTGTTCTCAATGTTCAGCTCCCACTTATGAGTGAGAACATGTGGTGTTTGGTTTCTGTTCCTGTGTTAGTTTGCTGAGGATGATGGTTTCCAGCTTCATCCATGTCCCTGCAAAGGACATGAACTCATTCTGTGTTATGGCTGCATAGTATTCCATCATGTGTATGGGCCACATTGTCTTTATCCAGTCTATCACTGATGGGCATTTTGGTTGGTTCCAAGTCTTCGCTCTTGTAAATAGTGCTGCAATAAACGTACGTGTGCATGTGTCTTTATAGTAGAATGTCTTTATAGTAGAATGATTTATAATCCTTTGGGTATATACCCAGTAATGGGATCGCTGGGTCAAACGGTATTTCTGGTTCTAGATCCTTGAGAAATCACCACACTGTTTCCACAATGGTTGAACTAATTTACACTACCACCAACAGCGTAAAAGCGTTCCTATTTCTCAACATCCTCTCCAGCATCTGTTGTTTCCTGACTTTTTAATGATGGCCATTCTAACCAGCATGAGATGGTATCTCATTGTGGAGCACTGCTTCTTAATCTTGGCTGCACATTGTAATCACACAGAAAGATTTAAAATATACTGTCATTTGGGTTTCATCCCCAGCTGGACATTTAAATATCTTAATGTCTGGGGTGCTGCATGGGCATTGGGGATTTTACAAGATCTACAGGAGATTCTAATATACAGATAATGCAAAGAATGATTGATTTGAGTGCTTTGATCTTCTAATATTAAAAAGAAATCTAAAAATTTCTCTGTTATTATTTGTGGAGTATGATTTGCATGGAACCTAGACTGCCTGTGAATTTAAGAGTTGAAAAAGTCTCAGTTTTTGAGATACTTCACTTGGTCTTCTCACTTATGTTGGGCCATTGTGAGATGGTAGATAATTTTTCTGAAAAAGACTTCGGGAAGAGTTTGTTACAGGTGCAATGTTTTCAGAGCATTTCCTAACTGCATTGTTTGAGAATGTAATTCTGCTGCCTTTGCACATAAATAGCAATTTATATGTGTCTGAAATTCTTTTTCTTCTTCATCTCCTCCTCTTCTTTCTCCTCCTCACAGGAGGTCACAAAGATTTAAAAACAAGAGAAAAAATAAAAGACATGGGGAACAGATTCAGAAAATCCAAACTCTGTAAAAATATACTTCTCTTCTTCCTCCTCCTTTTGTTTCCTTCTAATTAAAGTTTTGCTCCATTTTCTTCTGAACATTATTGTTGTGGAAGAGAAGTCTGTAGATAGACTGATTTTTATTTCTTTGTAAGTGATTAAGTGTCTTCATGAATGCTTATAAGAATATTTATCCTTGAAATACATACAGACGATCTCTGTCTTTTCATTTACATAATCAGTAAGCCATTTGCAACAATTGTTTCAGGTTTTTTGTAAGCTCAGGAAAAAATTATGCCATGATGCCTATAATAATTAGGTCAGCCTCATCTGTACCATGATCTACAATTGAGAACTAATTTTTACGTATAGATTATTGGATTTTTCTTATCTAGTCTCCATGTCTATGTTTTCTCTTATATTTAAATCTTTTTACTTTTCTCTGAGATTTGGACGGATTTCCAACCCTGTCTTCCACTTTACTGATTTGATTTTCAGCTATGGCCAATTTTCTGATCTCTACCACCACCACAGTGATTTTTTAATCCAACAATTTATTTTCTCTATATGTTCTTTCCTGATCTTATGACTGTTTACTCTAGTTTCATAAATACAATAAGAGTTCACATACTGTTGAGATAAAGGGGCAAAATTTTTCTAAACATGTGTACTTTTCTAGCAGTAAATCCCTTTCATAGTTGATATGGTTTGGCTGTGACCCCACCCAAATCTCATCTTGAACTGTAATTCCCACAATTCCCACATGTCATGGGGAGGTGACTGAATTATGAGGGCGGGTCTTTCCTGTGATGCTCTCATGATAGTGAATAAGTCTCACGAGATCTGATGGTTTTGAAAATCGGAGTTTCCCTGAACAAGTTCTCTTCTCTTGTCTGCCGCCATGTGAGACATGCCTTTCACCTTCTGCCATGATTTTGAGGCCTCCCCAGCCACATGGAACTGTGAGTCCAATAAACCTCTTTCTTTTGTAAATTTCCCAGTAATGGTTTTGTCTTTATCAGCAGTGTGAAAACAAATTAATACAAGAGTCAATTATTTTCTGTAAGTTTTTGGAGTAGTTTTTTTTCTTATGAGGGGCAGTAGCTTTTCAAGGGTCTGTTTTTCTCTTCATTTGGGAGGAATCCAGGCTGTGATTTTCCTGCTGATGATGTCTGCCTTTCACATGAGTTTTCTCTACTTCCTGTCCACGCTGATCTGTCCTCCATTCTTCCTTCACCCTGGTGCCATCTACCCTCTCTCAAGCAGAACAAACCAGAAACTACATTTTTTGGCAAATGGAACACATCTTTTATGGTTTTCAGAGGTATTACAGGTTTTACTTACTATATATTTTGAAATGTTCCACAGGAATATGGAAATTGGGAAAATTAGCTACTTGTACTCACACTAACAGATTATCTAACATCATGATAAATCTTTGGAGAGTATTTTTTCCACCCAGCTTACATTTACATCCTCAGGATATAGTTCTATATGGAAAATTACTAAGTCAAAGAATATGACCTTTTATTTTTTATATTTTATTTTTATTTTTTAATTTTTAAAAATTTCCAATAGCTTTTGGGGTACAGGTGCTTTTTGGTTACATGGATGGGTTATATACTGGTGAAGTCTGAGATTTTAGTGTACCCATCGCCCGAGTAGTGAACATTGTACCTAATGTGTAGTTTTTTTATTTCTAACCTCCCTACCTTCATCTCCCTTCTGAGTCTCTAATGTCCATTATATCCTTCTGTATGCCTTTGCATAATCATAGCTTAGCTCCCACTTATAAGTGAGAACATATGGTATTTAATTTTCCATTCCCGAGTTACTTTACTTAGAATAATGGCTTACAACTCCATCAAAGTTGCAACAAAATACATTATTTCATCATTTTTACTGCTGAGTAGTATTCCATGGTGTATATATACCACATTTAATTTATCCACTTATTGGTTGATGGGCACTTACGTTGGTTCCATATCTTTTCAATTTGTGAATTGTGCTGCAATAAATATATGTATGCATGTGTCTTTTTCATAAAAAGACTTCTTTTCCTTTGGGTTGATACCCAGTAGTAGAATTGCTGAATCAAATGGTAGATCTGTTTTTAGTTCTTCAAGGGATCTCCATACTGTTTTTTACAGGGGTTATACTAATTTACATTCCCACCAGTGGTATACAGGCATTCCCTTTCACCACATCCACACCAACATGTATCGTTTTTTGACTTTTTAATAATGACCATTCTTGCAGGAGTAAGGTGGTGTCCCATAGAGGTTTTAATTTGCATTGCCCTGATGATTAGTGATGAGCAATTTTTCATAGTCAACAAGTTTGTTGACTATTTGTATATTTGTATATTTTCTTTTGAGAAATCTCTGTTCATCTAATTTGTCCACTTTTTGATGGGATTATTTGTTTCTTGCTGATTTGTTTGAGTTCCTTGTAGATTTTAGATAGTAGTCCTTTGTCAGATGCACAGTTTACAAATATTTGGTGCCATTCTGTAGATTGTCTGTTTCAAAGTGTATGCACTTTTAAAAGCACTTAGATATATATTATCAAGTTGATTTCTAGAAAATTTTCTCTTAACACTTGTTAGGATATTCATTTTGCCACATTGTATTAGTCTGTTCTCACACTGCTGATAAAGACATATCCAAGACTGCATAATTTATAAAGAAAATATGTTTAATTGACTCACAGTTTCACATGGCTGGGGAGGCCTCACAATCATGGTAGAAGGTGAATGAGGAGTCAAGGCACATCTTAGTCTTACATGGTGGTAGGCAAAGAGAGAATATGTAGGGGAACTCCCCTTTATAAAACCATCAGATCTCATGAGACTTATTCACTATCATGAGAACAGCATGGGAAAGACCTACCCCCATGATTCAATTACCTCCCATCAGGTCCTTCCCATGACACGTGGGAATTAAAGAAGCTACAATTCAAGATGAGATTTGGGTGGGGACACGGCTAAACCATATCACATATTATCACCAATACCGAATGTTGTTTTTAAAACATACAGGCACACAACACACACTTTGCTAATTTGACATGATACATACATTAAAAGTATATTTTTATTTTCATTTACATTAAATTACAGAGAAGGCAAAATATTTTATTTATTAGTTTATTTGAATTTCTTCTGTCGGGTTTTTGTCCATGTTATTTGACCATTCTATCCTGGTTTTTGTGTTTAGTGTGTATTTTTTAAAAAACAATAGCCATTATAATAAATGAATGCCATTTCACCTAGCAATCCCCAGGAAGTTATTTAGAGACAATGATGATTCCAATATATGAAACAAAGTCTTCAATTTTTAAATATTTTTAAATATTGAATCCATTATAATCTTGGCTACAGTTGTACATACTTTTTAAAGCTTAAAATAATATTTTAAGATGCCTTTATATGAATGACATCATATGAAGACAGCTAAATGAGAATGAAGTGAAGGAGAGGGGCTCGGAGTTCTGCCATCTCAACTATAATACTCTTATAGTTTCATGAGACACAATTTAAAAGCCAGAGTTTAGAGCTTTCTTTTCTGTTCATGCTAATCAAACACTTTGGTATTATTTTCCTGTAACTTCATTTACCTTCAGCTTCAGCAAATCAAATGGAATATCCCCATAGCTGCTTACTGCCTACATACATACTTAAATGCTTATATATATATATATTCTGGATATGTGTTATGAATTTAGCAGTGATAATGAAAAGAAACAGGCTGCTTGTTGAATCCTAATTAAAACCAAAGTTGTTTTTTATGATTCCTTAAATCTAGGCCACACTTTAATTTCACAAACATATCCCAAAGAGAAGGCAACATAAATACATTGTATGATTTTTTTCTAGAGGTGCATGATTTATGTTCTCTCTGTGTACAAATATGTTCATATACTATTGCAATTGTGACAAATTGAAGGTGTGATATTATACATTGGAATCTGGAGTAAAACAGACTGAAAAAGTTTCTGTTAATGGAAAAGATATGTTTTCAGATGTTGCTGAACTTTGTAGTCAGCACTCAATATATCTCAGTATAAAAGATAGATATAAAAATTCTTCATTTCTTGGGAAAATGATTTTTTGAGCCTCATTTTAATTTTTCTTGGTGATTTTGTGATGGTGTCTTCCTTTCTTTGATATGACCTTTCCTCTTCCTCATTGACCCTTCTTTGTTCACTGTTATTCTTTTATCTGTAATGCACCATTCAGCCTGACTTGGAATAGTTTTGTATAAATAAGAGAATTGTGTTATATGCTATTCAATCTTAAGGGATAAAAATGATTTTTACTTTAGTGAAAAGAAGCAGCACCATGTTTTAAAATTATAGGCTTTTAGAGCTGGAAGGAGCCATGGAAATCATAGAGTCCATCCTTCTTGTTTTATGGATTAAAAGTGAGCGTGCAATCATTCTATCATAGGTAAAGGCTGCTCCGTGTACTCTGGGGCTTGCTTCATATATCTTGCCTACCTTATTTCCTCAGATTAAGTTTAGCCAGAGTTAGATTAAAGTATAATAGTTAAGAGTACAAGTTTGAGGTTAAACAGGTGTGGATGCAGACTGGTCCTCTATCTTTCAGCTCTTAGAGCTTGAATAAGCCACTTCACTCTGCCAAGCTTCAGTTTCTTATCTGTAAAACAGGGCTAAGTATATCTACTAAATTAAGTCTTTATGAGAATTGAATTATGTTATGTTTGCAAAATATTTGGTTCAGTGCTTGATACTAAGTGTTACCAAATAAGCATCCAAGAAATGGCAATTTCTTTTACTGAGATTCTTTTGTTGTTGTTGTTGTTTTTTGTTTGTTTGTTTTTGAGACAGAGTCTCACTCTGTTGCCAGGTTGGAGGATAGTGACACAATCTCGGCTCTCTGCAACCTCTGCTTCTTGGGTTCAAGTGATTCTCCTGCCTCAGCCTCCCGAGTAGCTAGGACTACAGGCATGTGCCAGCACGGCCAGCTAATTTTTTTTTACATTTTTAGTAGAGAGAGGGTTTCACCATGTTGGCCAGGATGGTCTCAATCTCTTGACCTCATGATGTGCCTGACTTGGCCTCACAAAGTGCTGGGATTACAGGCGTGAGCCACCTTGCCTGGCCTACATAGATTCTTTTACTTGTCCACCTCTCTTCCTAGACTGAGATTTCTCAGAGCCACCAAGTCTTGGCAATCTCTGTATGGCCCAGTGCCTTCGCATGGCATCTCATTCATTGACAGCTCCAAGCTTCCAATTACTTGAGTCCAAAATTTCAGAGCCATTTTTGTGTCTCTCTCTTTTTCTTTTTGTATACTCTCAGAAAATTAATCTGCAAACTCCTAGATTCAAGCCACCGTTGTCTTTTTCTGGATTCATGGAATTTGCTCTTAACTGTTCTCCCATTTATCCATTTTGCAGCAGCGAGAGTTATCCTCTTAAAGCATAAGTCATATCTTATAAATGTTCTGCTTAGACCTCTTCAAAGGCTATCCATCTCACATAGAGTAATATCAAACCCTTAACAGTCCAGCACCATCCCCTTCTTATTCAGTCTCTTTGACCTCATCTTCAGTTGACCTCTCTCACACTCCACACCAGTCACACTTGCCTTTCTGCTGTTCTTCCTGCAGTTCTTTCTCAACACTCCACCCATACAACTGCCCCGAGTGAGGAGTAGAGTCAGATTTTTAAAGAAAGATAGTTTGTGGCAGGAACAGAAAAAAAAAAAAAAATAACTGCATATGCTCAGTTATAAGTGGGAGCTAAACACTGAGCACACATGGACGCAAACATGTTGTATTAGTCAGGGTTTCCTAGAGGGACAGAACTAATGGAATATATGCGTGTGTGTGTGTAAATAGCAAAGACTTGGAACCAACCCAAATGTCCAAAAATGATAGACTGGATTAAGAAAATGTGGCACATATACACCATGGAATACTATGCAGCCATAAAAAATGATGAGTTCATGTCCTTTGTAGGGACATGGATGAAATTGGAAATCATCATTCTCAGTAAACTATCACAAGAACAAAAAACCAAACACCGCATATTCTCACTCATAGGTGGGAATTGAACAATGAGAACACATGGACACAGGAAGGGGAACATCACACTCTGGGGACTGTTGTGGGGTGGGGGGAGGGGGGAGGGATAGCTTTAGGAGATATACCTAATGCTAAATGATGAGTTAATGGGTGCAGCACACCAGCATGGCACATGTATACATATGTAACTAACCTGCACATTGTGCACATGTACCCTAAAACTTAAAGTATAATAATAAAAAAAAGATAAATATCCAATAAAACTTTTTTAGTTTAAAAATTTTTTAAATATATATACACACACATATATATGGGTGTGTGTGTATATATATATATGAGTTTATTAAGTATTAGCTCGCACAATCACAAGGTCCCACAATAGGCCCTCTGCAGGCTGAGAAGCAAGGAGAGCCAGTCTGAGGTCCAAAACTGAAGAACTTGGAGTCCGACGTTCAAGGGCAGGAAGCATCCAGCACGGGAGAAAGATGTAGGCTGGGAGGCTAGGCCAGTCTCTCTTTTCCATTTTTCTGCCTGCTTATATTCCAGCCATGCTGGTCGCTAATTATATGGTGCCCACCCAGATTAAGGGTGGGTCTGCCTCTCCTAGTCCACTGACTCAAATGTTAATCTCCTTTAGCAACACCCTCACAGACACACCCAAGAACAATACTTTGTATTCTTCAATCCAATCAAGGTGACAGTATTAACCATCATACATGGGAACAATAGACACTGCAGACTATGAGAAGGGTTGGGGGGGATGGGTTGAAAAATACCTATCTGGTAGTATGCTCATGACGTGGGTGATGGGATCTGTACCCCAAACCTCAGCATCATGCAACATATCCATGTAACAAACCTGCACATATATATCCTCTATCTAAAATAAAGGTTGAAATTTAAAAAAAGAAAGGTGGGATAGGTGCCATGGCTCATGCCTGTAATCCCAGCACTTAGGGAGGCTGAAGTGGATGGATCATGTGAGGTCAAGAGTTCAAGACCAGCCTGGTCAACATGGCAAAACCCCTGTCTCTACTAAAAATACAAAAATTAGCAGGGAATTGTGGCACATGCCTGAAATCCAAGCTACTCGGGAGGTTAAGGCAGGAGAATCGCTTGAACTCAGGAGGTGGAGGTTGCAGTCAGCTGAGATCACACCACTGCACTCTAGCCTGGTGACAGAGCAAGACTTCATCTCAAAATAATAATAATAATAATAATAATAATAATAATAACAATAATAATAAAAGATGTAGTATACAAGTACACCACAAGCTAGCTCCTGCAATTTAAATGGGTGTTTTGTAGTCTGTCTACTTGCTTTCATATGGGAGTAGAGAACACTTAAAAGAAAACTAACGTGAAATTCAACGGATTAGAAAAAAAAGTGCAAAACTAAAGGAAAGTGATTCTTTAGTAATTGAAGGTGGTCTGGGACATCCTACCATGCAAGGTAGTGTATCGGAAATTGGTGGGTTCTTGGTCTCACTGACTTTTAGAATGAAGCCGCGGACCCTCGTGGTGAGCATTACAGTTCTTAAAGATGGTGTGTCCGGAGTTTGTTCCTTCTGATGTTTGGACATGTTCGGAGTTTCTTCCTTCTGGTGGGTTCATGGTCTCGCTGGCTTCAGGAGTGAAGCTAGAGACCTTCACGGTGAGCGTTACAGCTCTTAAGACAGTGCATCTGGAGTTGTTCGTTCCTCCCATCCAGAGTTGTTCATTTCTCCCAGTAGGTTCGTGGTGTCTCTGGTCTCAGGAGTGAAGCTGCAGACCTTTGCAGTGAGTGTTACAGCTCATAAATGCAGTGCGGACCGAAAGAGTGAGCAACAGCAAGATTTATTGCAAAGAGTGAAAGAACAAAGCTTCCACACTGTGGAAGTGTACCCAGTTGCTGCTGCTGGCCCGAGCAGCCTGCTTTTATTCCGTTATCTGGCCCCACCCACATCCTGCTGATTGGTCCATTTTACAGAGAGCTGATTGGCCCATTTTACAGAGAGCTGATTGGTCCATTCTACAGAGAGCTGGTTGGTCCATTTTGACAGGGGGATGATTGGTGCGTTTACAATCCCTGAGCTAGACACAGAGTGCTGACTGGTGCATTTACAATCCTTTAGCTAGACACAAAAGTTCTCCTAGCCCCCACCAGATTAGCTAGATAAGTGCTGATTGGTGCATCAACAAACCTGGAGCTAGACACAGAATGCTGACTGGTGCATATATAATCCTGCAGCTAGACATAAAAGTTCTCCAAGGCCCTATTTAACTCAGGATCCCAGCTGACTTACCCTTGTGGATCCTGTGCTGGGGCCATGGGCGGAGCTGCCTGCCAATCCCGTGCCTTGTGCCTGCACTCCTCAGCCCTTGGGCGGTCGATGGGACTGGGCGCCATGGAGCAGGGGGCGGTGCCTGTTGGGGAGGCTCCCGCCTCGCGAGAGCCCCACAGCGGGGGGCGGGGCTCAGGCATGGCAGGCTGCAGGTCCGGGCGGGAGGCGGCTGAGGCCTGGCGAGAATTCCAGCGTGGCAGGTGTGGACCGGCAGTGCTGGGGGACCCAGCGCACCCTCCACAGCTGCTGGCCGGGTGCTAACCTCCTCACTGCCCAGGGCTGGCCGCAGCAGCCGGCTGTTCCGAGTGTGGGGCCTGCTGAGCCCACATCCACCCGGAACTCGCGCTGGCCCGCGAGTGCCCTGCGCCCGCGCCTCTTCCTCCACACCTCCCCGCAAGCAGAGGGAGCCGGCTCCAGCCTCAGCCAGTCCAGAGAGGGGCTCACACAGTGCAGGGACTGGCCAAAGGGCTCCTCAAGTACGGCCAGAGTGGACGCTGAGGCTGAGGAGGCGCCGAGAGCTAGCCAGGTCTGCTAGCACGTTGTCACCTCTCAGTAGGAACTGGGCTTCTAGTTCCATTACCCAAATAGTGAACATTATACCTGATTGGTAAGTTGTCCACCCTCTCTCCCTCTACCCCCCCCCCACCCACTTTTGGAGTGCCAGGTGTCTATTATTTCTATGATTATGTACATGTGTACCCATTGTTTAGCTCCCACTTCTAAGTGAGAACAAGGGCATATTTATCTTTGAAAATGGACTAAAATTTTTACACTATTTGTTGGAGGGAGGATATAGACTGAGATTGACTCTTTTGAAATGTAATTCACTTAATAACTGTGTGTGCAAAAACTGTTAGAAACATGACTTTTTGTGGAGCGGTGATAGTTTTTATGGTCTTAGGGGACCCCTGTGATGCAATGAAAAGAAACTTAGATTTAACCCAAGAATTCGAGACCAAAAAGATGTCACCATAAACAAGTCATTTGAGACCATTTTGTCATGATTTGTGAAACGGGGTCATTGCAGCTCTTACATTCTATACAGTGTTTTGACTTTTGGCTACTTTGAAGAAATCACAATATTTCAACCTATAAAGGACTCTTCTATGCTTCTGATTATAGTGGAAGTTGATCCTTTGCAATGAAATTAACCTGATGACCTGTATGGCTCTGGTAGTTTGAAGGATATGAGCAAAAGGGATGATACCTGGAGGGTCCACCCAGACAGTTGGACAATGTCCTTTGGAGGACATTATTGTGACTGGCCACAGCCACGATCCTCAGCTTTGTTTGCTCAGAAACTAAAGTTTTGCCAACATTCTTAGAGAATATCCATTTCTCCTGAAATAGACTCATATCTAGCAACTCTCAAGACAATGATATAGAAACCAAAATGTCAATTTATAAATTTATGATTTAAAATACAACTGTCAAGGACATAGGACATTTATGTCAGTTAGACATATCTTTCTGGAAGACGTCTATATACGTGAGCAGAAGTCAAAAAATGGCCAGATGATCACGGCAGGACAGACTAAGAGCATTGTAATCTTGCAGTCAGATGCACCCATCTCTGTTTTATGGTTATTTCTACTTGGGGGCACAGAATATTGCACTAGTTGCCCAGGGCATCCAGTGCTTGGATGTGCTGGATACATATTGACAAATCTCCCAATTTCCTATTTGGATGGCAGAACGTCTCCTTTCTCTTGCTATATCCTGCCTTTAGGTGTAGTCGTACCTTCATTTTGGCTCTGGTCAGCTCTGTCCTGTACTAGAAAAAAGTGCTGTTCGAGAGGATTTCTGCAGTTGTCTGCTCTCACTCATTTTTGTACGGCTGATGCTTTTCTAATTCACTGAGTTCTGAGCATGCCTTTTGTTCCCCTTGCCTGTGTTCCATCCACATCGTACTGCAGGATTCTGTTTACTGTATGTATGTATGTACATTTTGGCAGTAACAAAAGGAATTCTCTTCAGGATCTGCATTCCCAAAGCATGAGTTATCTCCCAGCCTAAATGCTGAGGGAGGGGATGGGAAATTAGATGGAAGGGGATGAAGGGAAGTCTGAGGGGAGTGGCTACTCCCAAAGACAGATAATTTGTCTTTGCTTTGTCCTTGCTGGGCTCAAACCTTGAAGGATGGATGTTTGGTATTTACTTAACACTTGCAGTAGTCTTGGACTCTCTTTTTGCAGACCTTGAATATTTACCCCCTCAGGGAAAACTTGATTCTCAAGAGTAAAATGAATTATCTATTTAGCTAATTAGCTAGAACATAGCAAAATTCTCAGGAGGATCATCCCATCTGAGGATTGATACAATGTATGCTTGTATTTGCAGAGCCTATCTCTTTTCATTTTCTGGCCTGCCCGTCCTATCGCTCATGCTTCACAGAGAAGGGAAAATTGTCCAGTAAGCAAAACCTCTTTTTCTTTCCTGCACTTTTCTGCCTTGCTTCTCTTGCTGTGCCTCGTAACTTCTGATGCTCATGGGTGACCTAAGGCACTTGATCTTTGCATTTTCCTGCTCTACAGATTACCCATTTCAGGAGGTGCAATGTGCTTACCCCACAACACTCACCAAGACTGACATTCTCTGTACACTCTTCTTCTCAGATGCCACAATCTGCAATCAGTGAACATACCAATATCTTGAAGAGTAGAAGAGTAGCTACCAGGGGCAGGGAGATGGAGTGGAGGTTGGAGATGTTGGTGAAAGGATACAAAATTAATTGGGAGAAATAAGTTAAATCTATTGTATAACAAGATGACTTAGTTAATGCATTGTGTTCTTGGAAATTGCTGAGAGTAGATTTTAAGTGTTCTCATCATGAAAAATGAAAAGTGTAATGGAATGCATATGTTAATCAGCTTGATTTAGCCATTCCACAATGTATACATATATCAAAATGTGTTGTATACCATAAATAGATACAGTTTTTATTCATCAATTTAAAAAAGAGAAATAGTGTACAAAACTACACTGCATGGGTCCTGCCTGATGCATTGTTTACTCAGAAAGTGGCATTTCCTTCTCTCCCCGAAAACAGCCAGAGACATAGCCTAATGGAGTAGTTAAGAACATGAACTTAGAGTAAGACTGCCTGGGTTCAACTCCTGGTCTCCCCACTTTGGGGCTAGTAAGCAAGGGCAAGGTAATTATTAATAATCTTTCTGTCCCTCAGTTTCTTCATCTGTAAAATAGAGGCAATAATAGCATTTACTCCGGGGATTAATGAGGAAGAGCAAGGACAAGAGGCAGGAGATGCTAAGAGCAGAGAGTGGAGGATTGGAGGCTAGGGGCTGGTTATACACGTCTCACCTAGTAGGGGCCTTTTGAAGATAGACTTCAAGAAGCTGAGGGTACAAACATCTGAGGAAAAGCTTCCAGAAAGAGGGAAGCACCAGAAGAAAGTCTCTGAGTTGGGATCTGGCTTGACATGGCCCAGGGACAGCAAGGGAGCCCCTGTGGCTCAAGTGGCGTGGGTAAGGGGGAAGAGTATGAGTGAGCAGTGAGAGGTCACCAGTGGGAGAGAGGAAACCTGGATGATGAGATTCCAGAGGACCAGGCAGACCTTTAACAACAATGGCCTCTACTTTGAAATAGGAGCTTTTGGAGGGTTTTGTGCAGAGGAGGGACAGAATTTGATGTACATTCTAAGTGGATCTCTGGCTGCTCCCTTGGGAAGAGATTTGGGGAGTGTGTTAGTTTGCTATGGCTGCCATTACAAAGTACGAAAGAGTAGGTGGCTTAAACCACAGAAATTAATTTTCTCACAGTGCTGGAGGTTGGAAGTTCAAGATCAAGGTGCTGGCAGGATTGGTGTCTGGTGAAGGCTTTCTCCTTGGCTTGCACAGAGGAAAGGCTGTGAGTGGCTGCCTTCTCCCTGTGTCTTTCCATGGCATTTCCGCTGTTCTTGTGCATCCTGGTATCACTTCTTCTTTTTTTAAGGACAGCAGTTTTATTAGGTTAGAGCCTCACTCCCCTTTTTTTTTTTTTTTTTTAAGACAGAATTTCGCTCTGTCGCCCAGGCTGGAGTGCAGTGGCATGATCTCGGCTCACTGCAAGCTCCGCCTCCCAGGTTCATGCCATTCTCCTGCCTCAGCCTCCCAAGTAGCTGGGACTACAGGCGCCTGCCACCACGCCTGGCTAATTTTTTGTATTTGTAGTAGAAACAGGGTTTCACTGTGTTAGCCAGGGTGGTCTTGATCTCCTGACCTCATGATCCGCCTGCCTCGGCCTCCCAAAGTGCTGGGAGGCGTGAGCCACTGCACCCGGCCCAGAACCTCACTCTTATGACCTTATTTCACCTTAATTAACTCCTTAAAGGGCATATTTCCCAATATAATTACATTGGGGGTTAAGGTGTCAACCATATACATTTCTGGGAGATCCAGTTTAATCTACAACAGGTAGTATATTGGTTAATTTTATATGTCAGCTTGGCTTGGCTATGGTGCCCAGATGTCTGGTCAAACACTAGTGTAGATGTTGCTGTAAAGGTGTACTTTAGATGTGACTAACATTTAAATTAGTAGACTTTGAGTAAAGTAGGTGACCCTCCATAATGCAGATGGGAATTGCCCAATTAGTTGAAGGCCTTAAGAGAGAAAGACTAAGGTCTCTGAAGGCATTCTGCCTCCAGGCTGGCTTTGGATTTGGGCTGCAACATCAACATTTCCCTGCAAATTTTGGACATAATCATGTGAACTGATTTCTTAAAATAAATCTCTAATATTATATCTAGATTTTTATTAAATGATCATAACGTTTAATTCCATATTATAATATCACAGTGTGCATATTATATTATCGATTGGGTTATTTACATCTGTCATAGAAGGCATTTTATATTCTACAAATGAACTGGGATCCCACATGAGAGAAACAAAATGGGCAGTTTTTCTAAGCATGGCATGTATAGGCTTATGTTTTGTTGTGAACTTGGTCCCTTCTGCAAGGTTTTAAAGGCACATAATATTCAGCAGACTGTGATTATAGCTGACCGAGAACCACACACTGGGCTCTTAGTAGCTTCTCAATGCATATTTCATAAATACATAAGTGTGAGGGCCATGGCTGGTTAGAAAGGAAGCTTTAGGGGCCCTCAGTGTAATGAAAGCTGCCAGTGAAGCATCTTTAGCCCATTGCATGCTCTCTCCTTGGGGCAGTGGAGGGTTTGCGTCTTTTATAGTTTTAGGTCCTCAAGGTGCATCACTCATCCTCTCTCTGATGCCTGTATTCATGGTAAGTTTATTCTTCAGGAAATTGTTTTTCAAAAAGCCTCATACTGTGATGGTTAATATTGAGTGTCAACTTGATTGGATTGAAGGATGCAAAGTATTGTTCCTGGGTGTGTCTGTGAGGGTGTTGCCAAAGGAGATTAACATTTGAGTCCGTGGACTGGGAGAGACAGAGCCAGCCTCAGTCTAGGTGGGCGCCATCTCATCAGCTGCCAGCTCCCCTTGAATAAATCAGGCAGGAGAAGATGGGAAAGCAGACTTGCTGAGTCTTCCAGCATTCATCTTCCTTCCATGCTGGATGCTTCCTGCCCTTGAACATCAAACTTCAATTTCTTCAGCTTTTGGACATTTGGACTTACACCAGTGGTTTTGCCAGGGCTTCTCAGGCCTTTGGCCACAGGCTGAAGGCTGCACTGTTGGCTTCCCTAATTTTGAGGTTTTGAGACTCCGACTGATCCACCACTAGTTTCCTTGCTCCTCGACTTGCAGACGGCCTATCGTGGGACTTCACCTTGTGATCGTGTGAGTCAATTCTCCTTAACACACTCCCTTTCATATGTACATATATCTTATTAGTTCTGTTTTACTAGAGAGCCCTAATACATATACCTTAGTTATTTTGAGGAAGGAGACAGAACCCAAGATTTATTATTTTTAGTAGTGAGACTTTGGACAGGTAGCCTAACCTCTTACACTGAATTTCTTCATTTGTAAAATCGGGATGACATAGAGACAGAATGCAAATTTGTTGTTGCCATGGGCTGGATGAAGGGAAGAGTGAGCAGTTAAGAATTAACTGCTTAATGGGTATGACATTTCCTTTTGGGACAATGAAAACATTTGGGAACTAGATAGAGGTGGTGGTTGCACAGCATTGTAATTATACTAATTCACTTTAAAATGGTGAATTTTATGTCAGGTGAATTTTACCTCAATAAAATAAGTAGATGATAATAGTACTCAGTTTATAGGGTTATGAGACTTATGGATGTTAAATACTTAGCATATGCCTAATACTCAGCACATGGTAACCAATCGAAGAATGTTGGTCTCTTCTTTCTCCTCCTCTTCTTCATTGCCACTGTTGTCATTGTCATAACCATTCTGGAACCAACTTCTTTTTAAATAAAAGTGCTAACCTTCATCTATTGTCACTCAAAGGGCAATACTGGGATATAAGGCTGGAAATAAGGCTGGGACTATGTTATGCCTACCTGAGAGAGGGAGAGAATGTACGTAGTACAGCAAGGGACCACTAAAGATACTTGCATAGAAGATCAAAGGGAGTCAAGCTGTGCTTTCAGCCAATTAGCCTGGCAGCCATGGGTCTAGTGGTTTGAAGTGGAAGAGGCTGAAAGAGGGGGACACAGTTAGCAGGTTACTCTCAACAGGGTCGTTAGATTTCCCTTTCTTATTTCCTCCTCAGTCACCTTGGATTTGGCTGGCTACATAGCAAACGCTTAATAAATACTTGTAGATTAGTTATTTTACACTTGTTTAATGCCCTTCTTTGAAGTACTTCCAGTTGAGATTACTTCTACAAATCATATAATACAAGATAAAATACCCTATATATCTGTCAGTTTTCTCTAAGACTGTTTTCTAAGTATTATATGTGCTTGGTTCATGGGCTGGGTATTCAGTTGCTGAAAAAATAGAAATCACTCCATTAGTCATGCCTCTGCAAATTTCACATTTTATATTCCAAGTCTGTGGTAGGTGATATTTAAAGCATTTTTTTTTGTTTGTTTGTTTGTTTTTTTTTTTTTGCTTGCTGTTGTATCACTACAACTGTATATTGCTTGTGGACATTTTGATCTCAGATCTCAAGAAAATGATGATGTTCCATTTGTTATCACTTTAAGGGAAGCACAAAAAGACCTTAAAGTGAAAAACACAGCTTAATTAGCACGTTGGTGATTTATGTTACCCAGTGTGAAATCTCCATTAGTACCAAAAGAAGGATTTTTAAAAAGGCATCTTCTGAATTTTTAAATTATTTTTGGTCTTATTTAGAATTCACAATCTTATTTCCATGTCTCTAATCTGCAAATCCCAAAATGTAACATCATTGTCTCAAAGTTATTGCATTTCACAATATCATGCAAAGGAACACAGCTGCTTATTGTTTAATCACCGAGGACAAATGTCCTCTGTACCATTTTATATGCAGGTTTATACCTTGATTTATGTAATGCAAAAGCTCTTAAACATCATAGAGTTTTAGAATTTGAAGGGACTGCTAAAATTTTCTAGTTATTCTTGTACTATATATTGTTGAGAAAATCCTAATAGAAACACTTAAAAAATTTATATCAATTCATATTTTATTTAACACATTATCTACATATATTATAAATATTTGAGCATCTTTGTACTAGACTGAACAGTCAACCTATAGACTGTACATATCAGATACAGCTCTTTCAGTTACCAAAACTTAGAATCTGGTTTAAGAAACGGGGAAATTTATTTCCTCAAGTGACTGAAAAGTCCAAGAACAACTCTTCAAATTAGCAGGACCCGGAGGCTCCAAGGGATGTTTCTTTTCCATCTCGTGGCTCAGCTTTTATGTGGATTTTCAACTCCTAGGCTCTCTCTGTGTGGCTGTTACCTGATCCGGGCTTAAATCCTTTAGGTTCAAGACCAGAGAAAAGGGAAAAACTTCCTGTCACTTCTCCAGCCAATCGTTGGCTTACCTCTGATTAGACAGTTTGAGTCAGGAGTCCATCTTTAGAGCAATCACTGTGACTTTAGTTTTAGAAAAGAGTGATTGACCTGTAAAAGGGTTTGTGTCCGTACTTGAACTCGGAGCCCATTGAAATCATGTGCACTGAGTGTGAACAGAATGGTTTTTCCAGAGAATGTGGAGTGGCTGTTGGAAGATAGGTGTAAGGTAGGCAAAACCATTGTATGGCTGTGAGACAGTCACAAGTGGATTCCAGGATATCTTCTGGTAATAACAGAATGGGAAGGAGAAGATGTAAGGAAGAACCCTCCCCCAAAAGACTGTCTAAGTCTATGGATTAGCACCCCTGTTTATAATTCAACTTTTTCATGAAGATGTAACCTCAGAAAAACTAAGTGGCATGCCCATGGAATCACAGTTAGAAAAGTAGAGGCAGTTTAACACCATTCTGATTATCCTCCAACAGAGAAGGACATTTCTTAGGTTATTCATATATATGATTAAAAATAAATTGTAAATTTTTGAAAGTGATAGTTTTGCCTAATTTCAAAAATTTGCATAATTAAAAAACCACAAAAATAAAGTAAGCAAATACTCTTATTCTCTCTCTCTCTCTGTGTGTGTATAATGAGAACTGTCATAAAAATTCTGTTGAATTATTTTGATTTAATTCTATAAAAGGAAAACTTAATGCTATTCCTATTTAATCAGAGTCTCTGATAATGTCATTTTTTTTTCTTTTTTAAAATACTTTCAACTTTTATCTTAGATTGAGAGGGCACATGTGCATATTTGTTACATGGGTGTATTGTGTGACGCTAAGGTTTGAGATATAAATGATTCTATCACACAGGTACTGATAGCATAGTACCTGATAGGTACTTTTTAAGCCCTTGCCCCTCTCTCCCTTCCCTCTTCTAGTAGCCACCAATGTCTACTGTTCCCATCTTTATGTCCATAAGTACTCAGTGTTTAGCTTGCCGTTATAAGTGAGAACATGTGGTATTTGGTTTTCTGTTTCTGTGTTAATTTGCTTAGGATGATGGCCTCCAGCTACATCCAACTTGTAGCAAAGGACATAATTTCATTATTTTTTATGGCTATATAGCATTCATGGTTCATATGTACCACATTTTCTTTATTCAATGCACTGTGGATGAGCACCTGGGTTGATTCTGTCCCTTTACTATTGTGAGTAGTACTGTGATGAACATATGACTTCATGTGTCTTTTTGGTAGAATGATTTATTTTCCTTAGGGTACATGCTCAGTAATGGGATTGCTGAGTTGAATGGTAGTTCTGTTTTTAGTTCTTTGTGAAACCTCCAAACTGCTTTCCACAATTGCTGGACTAATTTACATTACATTTCCACCAACAGTGTACGAGCGTTCCCTTTTCCCCACAGCCTCACCAACTTCTGTTATTTTATGACTTTTTACTAATAGCCATTATGACTGGTGTGAGAGGGTATTTCATTGTGGTTTTGATTTGCATTTCTCTGATGATTAGTGACTTGGTTTGGCTGTGTCCCTACCCAAATCTCAGCTTGAATTGTAGTTCCCATAACTCCCATGCGTTGTGGGTGCGACTCAGTGGGAGGTAATTGAATCATGGGGGTGGTTACCTGCATGCTGTTCTTGTGATAGTGAGTGAGTTCTCACAAGATCTGATGGTTTTATAAATAGTTTTTCTCCCCCACCTCCCTCTGTACTTCTCCTTGCTGCGTTCATCCGGAGAAAGATGTGTTTACTTCCCCTTCTGCTGTGATTGCAAATTTCCTGAGACCTCCCCAGCCATGCTGAACTGTGAGTCAGTTAAACCTCTTTCCTTTATAAATCACCCAGTCTTGGGTATGTCTTTATTAGTAGTGTGAGAACAGTCTAATACAATTGGTGATACTGAGCATTTTTTGTATGTTTGTTGGCCTCTTGTATGTATTCTTTTGTGGAGTGTCTGTTCATGTCCTTTGCCCACTTTTTTTTTCTTTTTTTGAGGCAGAGTCTTGCTCTGTCACCCAGGCTGGAGTGTAGTGATGCTACCTCAGCTCACTGCAGCCTCGGCCTCCTAGGTTCAACTGATTCTCCTGCCTCAGCCTCCTGAGTAGCTGGGATTACAGGTGTGTGCCACAATGCCCGGCTAATTTTTTTGTATTTTTAGTAGAGACGGGGTTTCACCGTGTTAGCCAGGATGGTCTTGATTTCCTGACCACGTGATCTGTCTGCGTCGGCCTCCCAAAGTGCTGGGATTACAGGCATGAGCCACCGCGCCCAGCCCTTTGCCAACTTTGTAATAGGGTCATTTGTTTTTTTGCTTGTTGAGTTGTTTAAGTTTCTTATAGATTCTGGATGTTCGACCTTTTGTCTGATGCATAGTTTGTGAATATTTTTCTCATTCTGTAAGTTGTCTGATTATGCTATCGAGTAAGCAGAGTTTTGCACATTGTTGTACAAAAGCCCTTTAGCTTAATTAGAGCCAATTTGTCAATTTTTGTTTTAGTTGTAATTGTTCATGAGGATTTAGTCATACATTCTTCATCAAAGCTGATGTCCAGGATAGTATTTCCCAGAATGGTATTTCTTCTAGGATATTTATAGTTTGAAGTCTTACATTTAAATCTCTAATTCATCTTGAGTTAATTTTTGTGTATTTTGAAAGGGTAAGGGTTAAGTTTCATTCTTCTGCATATGACTGGCCAGTTATCCCAGCACCATTTATTGACTAGAGAGCCCTTTCCCCTTTCTTATTTTTGTTTACTTTGTCAAAGATCAGCTGATTGTAGGTGTGCGTGCAGCTTTATTTCTGAGTTCTCTAATCTGTTCCATTGGTTTATATATCTGTTTTTGTACTAGTGCCATGCTGTTTTTGTTACTGTAGACTACAGTTTGAAGTTGGATAATGTGATGCCTCCAGCTTTGTTCCTTTTTCTTAGGATTCCTTTGGCTGTTTGGATTCTTTTTTGGTTCCATAGGAATTTTGGAATAGTTTTTTCTAATTCTGTGGAAAATGATGTTGGTAGTTTGAGAGGAATAGCATTGAATCTGTAGATTGCTTTGGAAAGTATGTTCATTTTTATGATATTAATTCTCACAATTCATGAGCATGGAATGTTTTTCCATTTTTTCATGTAATCTCTAACTTCTTTAAGCAGTGTTTTATAGTTTCCTTGTCGAGATCTTCACCTTAATTGGTTACATGTATTCCTAGGTATTTTATTCTTTTTGTGGCTATTTTAAATGAGGTTATGTCCTTGATTTGGCTCTGAGCTTGAACATTATTGGTGTATAAAAATGCTACTGATTTTGTATGTTGATTTTTTTATCTTGGAACTTCATTGAAGTTGTTTATCAGTTCTAGGAGCCTTTTGGCAGAGTGTTTAGGGTTTTCTAGGTATAGAATCATATCATCAGCAAAGAGAGATAATTTGACTTCTTCTCATCCCATTTGGATGTCTTTTATTTCTTCTTGTTGCCTGATTGCTCTGGCTAAGACTTACAGAATTATGTTGCACAGACGTGTTGAGATTTGGCATCCTTGTCTTGTTCCAGTCCTTAAGGGGAATGGTTTCAGCTTTTGCCCATTCAGTATGATGTTGCCTGTGGGGTTGTCATAGATAGTTTTTATGATTTTGAGGTCTGTTCCTTCAATGCCTAGTCTGTTGAGGGTTTTTATCATGAAGGGATATTGGATTTTATCAAACGCTTTCTCTGTGTCTACTGAGATGATCATATAGATTTTGTTTTTAATTCTGTTTATGTGGTGAATCACATTTATGGATTTGCATATGTTGAAGCAACCTTGCATCCCAGAAATAAAGTCACTTGATCGTGGTGAAGTAACTTTTTGATGTGCTGCTGGATTTGGATTGCTAGTATTTTACTGAGGAGTTTTGCTTCTATATTCATCTGGGATATTGGCTTGTAGTTGTCTTTTTTTGTTGTACCTTTGCCAGGTATTGGTAGCAAATTGATGCTGGCTTCATAGAATGAGTTAGGGAGGACATGAAGAGGCCTCCACCCCATGATGACATTTTTAATGCACAAAATTTTCACTGAGTTGTTTTGACAATTTAGGTTGCATGTGTGGAAAGCTACATTTGCAAATTCTTTGATGATCTACAACCTGAATTACATTATTTACATAAAAGCCATTCGTTTTAGTGTAAGGGACTTCTTGCAGGCTTTTCCAGAGCCCTGTAATTTGCTTTCCTTCACTGACTGGCTGTCACTCTTCTGTGTGGCAGGTTCCCAATGGGCTGCCTCTTTTGGGTGCTCATAGTACAGCCCTCTTCACACTTGCCCTACACAGTCTGCTGGCCCAGAATCATGGCTCAGTTTTGACCTCTGCCTGTCAGCTTCAACCCACAGTTGGCAAGCCACCCACCCTGTCTCCCCTTGCTACAGGGTCCCCTCGCTCATTGAGTGGCTCTTTTGGGAGTGCTTAAATCCATCTGTACACTGACATCTGATTGACATATAGGAAAATCTCCATATGCTTGCCATGGTTAATTGTGGGGGTGCAGTCTGCCCCATACCACTGCCTGCCTTACCTCTGCTGCCCAACTCCTGCATTTCGCCCTACATATTTGCAGCATTAAGCACTCTGAAGATCCCATTGCTCAGCCCTTCAGGCAAGAAATGATCACCAGTCCCTGACTTAGTGGAGGTGGGGAGAACATTTGGGTCCCCTCAATATTATAGAAGGCAGTGGTGGAGAAGTCCAAGAAGAAAGGATGTCAGCTGCTCCAAAAAACTGTTATAAGGTGACCTCTCTACGCCTCTTATTCTAGCCAGATCTACTGAGCTGGATGGAGGTTGAGGTGGTGATCATGGTGGTGAGTGTTGAACAAAGCTCCCAAATGAAGCAAGCTCTGTGGGGAAGTGCCTGCCTTTGACTCCTGACAGTTCTCTAAACTTAGGAAGTGCAGGAGTCAGTGCCTTTTTGGTCTTAACTATGATTGCTGCAAAAATAAGATTCCACCTTGCCCCTAACCCCATCCTACCATACAAGTCCTGTGTAGATGAAGCAAGCAGGTCTAAAACCTCTTAAAGTGATGATAATTTTATCAAATAAACTGACTTTACTCTCTGCCTGCCAAGTTTTCCCTTCAGAATTGTACCCATTTGTCAATCTGTCCAAAAATGTGGTATTTTAAGTGATGTTTTTCCTTCTGATTTAATGCAGTAAATATAAATTTGTGACTATAACCTATGAGCCAAGTGCTGGGCTAGGTTCTAGAGATTCAAATAACACCAAACAACATAAGGGTCCATCTATTGGGCTTTCTCTCAGGCCTTGTACTCATGTTATATGAATGTTATTGCTAATTCTTAAATCTGAACTGCAAGATGAGTATTTTTCGTGTTTTTATGATATGACAGTGGAAGCATAGAGAGGTTTCATAACTTTCTGAAGGTTTTATATCCAACAAATTTGGAAGTCAGAGCCTATTTCCACTATATTTACTATAATATTTCTTAAGAAATTGGAATAAAGACATAGCTCTTGCCTTCAAGGCGCTCACCATCTAGTGAATTTATTAGTGAGTACCCAACCAAAAATAACAGAAACCTGATTGTGATACTGTAGTCCTTGAAGTGGTTAACAAAGGAAATGAAAGTCTAAGAGATTCCAGCTCAGTTGTCAAGGGTAATTTCCCAGAGGGGGTCTCAAATAGGAGTGTTTATTCTATCTTTGGATTCCTAGATGATGAATCTGAGAACAGAATTGAGTGTATGTGATAGATAGGCTGGATGTGTAGAGGCAAGCTGAAATGGACGGCTGCTTCACTACAGCCCCACTTAGGAGTGGCCCTAGAAAAAGCCATGTGAAGACAGGGAAATCCATCCAACTGGCAGAGCTTTGGGTGGTCTACCTGGTCATCTGCTTGGTGTGAAAAGAGAAGTGGCCTGAAGTAAAGTATATGCAGGCTCATGAACAGTGATAAAGGGTTTGGCTGGTTAGTCAGACATCAGGAAGGAGAAGTCTTTGCTTCTGCTGGCAGTCAAGGGGTCCCTTTGTTCCTGAAATATCAGCTCTTTCCCAAAGAGTTTTGTCTCAAGATGCAGTCTCAGACTCATCTTCCTTTTCTTGTTACTATTTCAAGGGTCATCATGAAACTTTAGTATTTCAATCTCAGGCTAATCCCAGTGGTAGGTCAAGCCTGGATTGCTACTTTTTTTATTCTTCCTGTTGCTCTAATTCTGACTCTATTTGTATGGCCCTACTATTGGCATTTTGGACTAGGTTCTGGGCATTCCAGCCTGTGTCCTGGGAACTCCCACAGTGGCCGTCACAGTTCCTACAGCCGCTTCTTTCTGCTCAGTTCTCCTTTGTGTATATGAGAGAGTGTGGGTGTGTTCTTCGGATCTCCTTTGAAGCTAGCAATGCAATGTGTGTTCAAGAATGTATCATTTCCAGGTTAACTGTGGTGTAGGAAGCTTCTTTAAAACACTTAGATATTCGTAATTATGCCCCATTCTGTTTTTGAACCCATTCTATAGGGCCTTTGCACCCACTGCTTCAACAAAGCATCTCTTACAAGAAAACCAATGACCTCTAATTGCCCAATAAAATGGTGATTCCTGAGTCCTTGTCTTACTTTATCTGTAGGAAGCAACTGACTTAGTTGTTCCCCTTTTCCTTGAAATACTTTCTTCCTTTGGCCTCCAAGGCACAATTTATTCTCTCTTAATTCTCCTCTTGCTTCACAGGCAGCTTCTTCTCAGCTTCTTTAGCCTATCTCTCTCTTCTTGACCTCCAAACACTGAACTACATCAGGATTCAGTCTCCAGAAATTTTCTTTATCCATGTTCACTCCCAAGATAATCTCAGCCAGTCTCATGGCTTTAGGTAACTCTGTAAGCTGATGATTCTCTTTTCTATAACTCCATCAAAAACTCTTCCCTGAACTCCAGACTTGTACATTCAACTTCCTACCCAACGTTTATACTTGGAGTCCTAGTAAACATCTCAAATTGTAACATGTTCTCAAGGAATTTGAAGAATTGTCTCATAGTCTTCTCTGCCCAAATAAATGATACTTCTAGTTGCTCAGGCTAAGAATCATGGAGCTATTACTGACTCTTTACTTTATATCATACACATCAGTTTCTCCTAAATCTGTCCAGAATCCTGACTATCTCCATTAGTACTACACTTCCACTTCACCATCATCTTTTGTTTGGACTATTGAAATAGAATCCTAACTAATCTACCTGTTCTATATTTGCTTCCTAGTTGTCCAGTCTTTGCATGGCAGCCAAGTTAGATCATGTTTTTTCTCTTCTCACAACACTTCTAATGGCTTTTCATTGCACTCTGAGAATCAGATCCAAAATCATTGCTGTGGCCTACAAGACCCTTAACTGATCTAGTCCTCACTACCTCTCTCCCACCTGCTGTTTCATTCTTCCTCTGCTCATTTAAATCTAACCTGGGATTCTTGTTGTTCTTGTACATGTCAAAAATGCTTCTTACCTGAGGGTCTTTGCATTTTCTGTTTCCTCTGCCTGGAATGCTCTTACCACATATTCTCAGGATTTGTTCCTTTTATTTATTTTTTATAACTTTTATCTCAAATGTCATTTTATCAGCAAGGTCTTTCTTGAACATTTCATGTAAAGTAACATCTTCTGACAATCTTAGTTCTTACCCCAATTTCTTTTTTCTTTATATCATCTATCACCACCTGATATATACATATCTGTACTTGTTTATTGAGTTTTCTCCCACGGACTTTTCCTGTTTGGTTAATTGCTATACTCCTGCAGTCAGGGCGACACCTGACAATTGGTAGCTCTTAGTAAATACTTGTTGACTTAATAAGTGAATGACAGATGAATAAATTAAGGGTGGATATAGTAAAATTGAGACAAAACACAGAAACTTATTTCAAAGTTTCTGTTGACTGGTTTTAACCAAATGCAAATTTCAAATCCCTGACAGAAAAGCCAGCTCCTCTCTTAATTTTGACACAATAGTTTTGACTGTTTCCATTTTCGTAAGGAATAACTAGGGAGCTGTACAAATGATGAGAAGCCCTGTGGGCATTTGGTACCATACATCATTTCTTCTTTGCTGCTAGGGCTGTTATTGCATTCCACATTTTTACTCCCACACGCTCATGTGATGGAAGCTACAAGGCCAGACTAGGTAACTGGTAAGATCTCCTTTTGCTCTAAAATGTATACCCTGTGCATTTCTTTTCCTTCCATTCCACTCTGTGTGCATTTAGTGCAGACATTGTTCCTTTTCGCCTCATCTGTATTGTTTGCCTGCTCATAACTTGCAGATGAAGCTATTGTGGGACATGATTTGGAAGACTGATCTTGACTATGTCTTTCAAATGTCAGTTAATGGTGGCTGTAGAGGCTGCTAATTTAGGAATATGATTCGGATAGTGTGGATGATGCACCTGTTGTTCAGACTAAGGCTCTGCTTGAGGCTATCAGTTTTCATCTGTAGAGCCGTGTGGAGTTTAGGGCTCCGAAGGCCATTAAAAATGGCTGCTTTCCGTTTAGTCAAAGAGATTTGCAGAGGTGATTTTTCAGTTAGTCTCTGAGGTTGTTGACAGAAAACAAGGGGACAGGGCTCTTTCTGTAAACATTTCTCACCAGAATTTTTAGCCTCTCATTCCTGGCATAAGATTTTTGTTACATTTTTGCCTAAAATCAATACACTTAGATTTCTCTGGGTCTAATAGAATTATGTGTGTGTTTGGTTTGTGTTTTTGTGTGTGTGTGCGTTGTGTTGTTTTTTCCCTTTTAATTTACATAGCGTGGGAGAAAGAAGATTTTTATGGCTGGGATGACAGAATGTTTGGGTTGAGCACATGTCCAGCAAAGAAAAGGAAAGAAAAAAAAATATAAGCCCTAACTTAGAAGGAGAAAGTTTATTTAGAAATAGAATTAACCTGTCTTGAACATGATAAATGCCATACTTTTCAAAGGTTTGTTATAGAATTGATTTCTTTCCATATGTTTCTAGTGGTTTAATTTGATTGGCAGAAGAAAATGTTGCCATTTGATATAGGAGAAGTTATTTTTAATGCACAGGACTGTAGGTGTGAATTTTATTTGTGTTAATAATGTTGAATAAACGCATTTATGTGTTGGGTTTATTTCTGGCTACTGTGCTACTACATAATTTGATTGTTCAGTTTTCAGACATGGATTTAAATCTTTACACAGCTGGGAATTAGCTAGTCACATTGTATTTGCTTCTGCTTATGGAATCAGGAAAATGACCGAACTAAGGAAGAGGAGCTATTTCAAGGTTTTCTTATCTTTCTTTAAAGTACAAAAATATTTTCTGTAGGAACTTCTTAATGAGAAGCAACTTAACTCTTTCCAGAAATGTGTTTGAATAACAAGTCTTCTGACTTTTCTGTTTAATTGCTACATATTGCTAAACAGAAGATGTAATATGTTTTCTATATTTTCTTTAAACCTATTTTTATTCTTTTAAAAGAGATTAAATATAAATTAAAAATTGGCTTTTATTACATTATAAAACTATTATCTTCAATATTTACCCTGACAATTATAATTTTCAATCACTGATCTTCAAGTACTCAAACTTGTGAAATGGTTACAGGGGTAATGCTGTTTCAATAATACTAAATGTGTAGTATTCTTATATACTAAAGTAGACTTAAATTTTTGTAGACTGTAAAATTATTTGATCAAGTTGCATAGCTTCAGTGACAATTCCAGTTAATTCAGGCAGGATTTTAATTTACTATTCTACATCTTAGGCTAAGTGTTGCCCAACTCCAGTGGAGTTAAGACTATGAGGCTTTAGTATACATATACTTCGATTTTGTTTTGAAGTCCTCATAAAATAAGCCACCTTTGGCTCAGGAGTAAGGTAGGCTTTTTTCCTGGCTTATTTTATTACTGATTTGTTCTATGGATCTGTTAGGGTTTAAATGTGTGTGTCTCCCCAACATTCATACGTTGGAATCTAAGATCCAATGTAATGGTATTAAGAAGTGGGCCTTTAGGAGGTGATGAAGGTAGGAGGGCTCCACACTCATGAATGGGGTTAACAACCTTTCAAAAGGGCTGAAGGGAACTACCTAGATCTTTTTTATTTGCCAGTCCTTTCTTCCACTATGTGAGGAAACAGCAAGAAAGCCTTCACTAGACAACAACTACTGGCACCTAGATCTTAGACTTCCTAGATCCAGAACTATAGGAAATAAAGTTATGTTTTCTATAACTTACCTAGTCTTAGGTATTTTGCTATAGCTGCATGAATGGACTAAGATAAGATATGACTGCACGTTTGTCTAATTGGATACCAAAACATGACTAGAGCTTAAATGGTTGGAATTATTCAATCTCAAAGAGTTAGTACTCATGGATAGTAGAGCTAACTCACCAATATTCAGTCCAGCTGATTCTCAACAGGGATGACAAAAATTTAATCAAGAATATCAATCAACAAAAAAATATCTATTGAGTAGATGATCCTGGTGGTATGAAAGTGAACATGAAACCTGTCTCCAAGGAGCATAAAATTAAATTGATGAGAAAATTATATCTAATACTTACCTAATGCTCAAGCATATGAAAAGTTACTTAGCTACATAGTAATACAAACTAATAATAAAATATAACTTAATTGCCAATTGAGGGATATAGGGGATACAACAAATGTCCTGAGTAAATTTGTTTTTTCAAACCTGAGTAAATTTATTCTCTCCCCTGACTTTTTTTTTAATCCCACTTCTTGGGTTAAGGTGGGTTGTTGCATATAAATAAGCAAGAACAGTAAATAGTATCAGTTCACATTTACTGAATGGTTTCTATATGTAGGGCACAGGTTTATTACCTCATTTGAGACTGCTAAATCTCATGCAATTATCCCCATTTCACAGATGAGGAAACTGAGAACAGAATATCTTGTTGAAGGCTGCACATCTGGCAAGCACCAAGACTGAGATTTGAATCTAAGCAGTCAAGGCTTAGTGCCAGTGGTCTTTGCCACTACTCCATCCTGCCCATCCAGCATACCTGATCCTGTGGTGTATCAGAGAGGGAAATCTGACCACAGAGAGCCAGCTTCTTTCTTGCTGCAAGTTTACTTTCACAGGGCTCCAATTAGTACACTGAAAGAGCTCATTTACTAAACGGGCTCTGAGTAATTGGCTAATGGGCTTGGGGTGAGTGGTGTCCTCCAGAGGGCTATTTCCTCGGGCTGACATATCGGGCAGTCAAGCCTGCAGTTGTTTATCCCACTCCAGGATCACACAGCCAAGCACATTAATGCTGCTGGAAAATGATTCTCTATTTAAAACTCAAACTGGGTGAACAGAGCCTGGCTCTAGCTTTCTTTCTTTCTTTTTTTTTTTTCTTCCAACTTTTAGGTTCATGGGGTACATGTGCACGTTTGTCACATCGGTAGATTGTGTGTCATGAGGTTTAGGGTACGAATGATCCTGTCATCCAGGTAGTGAGCATAGTGGCCAATAGGTAGTTTTTCAACTCAGGACTCGGAGCCCAGCAAGGTGGTCCTGGGTGTACTAGGGTGTAAGCTTTTAAGCTGGGGGTGGGGTGGGGAAATAGTTCTCACCTTTCATTTATGGGTGAAAACAATGGGGGCTTGTGTCTGGGTTTTCCCTCAGTTCATGTGCTCTGAAAGAAGCATGCCTCCTGTGAAAGGGGCCAAGTCACTCAGCTTTACCACTCTGTTGTTCTACCACCATTATCCTAGATCCTGCCCAAAGGGGAAACTGTAACATGTAGATCATTTGTCCCAAGTGACACAGTTTATTGCTGCCACCTCTTTGTACCCCATGTGTTTCTTCTATAAAATGGGGCTAACAATAATACCCAATAATACCTACCCTATGGGGTTGTTGCGAGTGTTAAGAGTTGATAAAAATAAGGTACTTAGAAGAATGGCCAGGCCACAATAGGCATTCAACACATATTAGCTATCTCATTATTATTTTTTATTATTATTCTTTGTATCAGATAGTGCAGTGGAAAAAAATGGGCTTTGAAAAGAGTTCAGGTTCTGATTATTCCATTTACTATGATTGGGAGCTTGGGCAAGTCACTTACTCTTTCAGCTTAGAGTTCTCATCCGAAGTGAGAAAAACACCAACTTCACAGGGCTGTTTAAAGGAATAGTCACAAAATAATTAACATCTATCAATTTCATTTGCAAACTGTAAAGCTTCATGTTCATTATCATCATTAATTCCCTAAAACTGGTTCTTCTATTGAATTCTCTTTTGTATTAACCCAATGACACAACTATTAAACTAGGAGTCATCTTAAGCTCTTTTTTCCCATTAGTTGGCCCTTAAGATTTGTTGATATCTCTAGCATCTGGCCACTTCTTCCTATTCCGTTGCAACTTCCTTAAGATAGGGCTTTAGCAGCCTCCTAATTGGCCTCCTGCCTCCAGTCTCTAGTCTGCTGGCAGGATGATTGTTCAAAAGTACAAATTCAGTCTTGCCATTCCCTTTCTTAAAACTCCCTAGTGGTTCCTCATTGCCTTCAGTGTAAAGTTCTGATGTCTTAGCATGGCAAGCAAGGCCTTCCATGCCATGGCTTCCATTAACTTCCTTAGGGTTGCTGATACCTTTTACCTTTGTCACACCAAATTAAATATAGCTCCCAGAATATATCTGTTACGGTTCACTTCATGTGTCCACTTGACTAGGATATGAGATGCCCAGATATTTTGCTAAACGTTATTCTGGGTGTGTCTGTGAGTGTGTTTCTAGACAAGATTCACATTTGAATTGTGGACTGAGTCTAGCAGGTTGCCTCCCCAATGTGGGTGGACCTCATCTAATTTGTCCAAGGCACCCGTAGAATAAAAAGGCTGAGTAAGGGAGAAATTGCTCTTTCCGCCTTACTGTCTCTGAGTTGGCGACATCCATCTTCTCCTGCCTTTGCATTCAGGCTAGACCTTTCCCATCGGCTCCCTCGGGTCTGCAGCTTGCTGACTGCAGATCTTGTGATTTCTCAGCCTCTATAATCACATGAGCGAATTCCTTATTAAAAATCTCTCTCTCCCTCATATATATTTCCTATTGGTTTCATTTCTCTGGAGAACCCTGCTGATACAGTGTCCTTGTCTCTTTCTTGTGCTTTCTGGCCTTTTCCTTCCCATCCTCTTCTACTTACCCTTCAAGATTACTCTAGCATCTTACATCTAGCACCTACTCCAAAGAAACCTTCTCTGGCAGTCCCTTTCAACACCCTGGCTGAGTTAAATGTCCCTCCTCTTTGCTCCCATTGCACCCAGCCCAGTATTTGCTCTGATCTGATCACATGGTACTGTAGCTGCTCCTTTATGCTTCTGTCCCTTTATGGAGGAAACCTTCAGGATTCTACTTATTTCTGGATTCCTAGTGGGTTGGGAAAAAAAACAATAAACATTGATTGAATGAAAAAATAAACATTATAATTAATAAAAAATAAGATTATGTAGTTGCCTTTCAAGAACTATGTCCAAATTGCCAATTTGCTCTACTCAACAAGAAGAGACCCTACTTGAGATTTATTACTAAATAAATGACTTTGAGCAAATGACACAACCTCTCTCTGCATAAGTTTTGTCAACTTGTAAAATGGGACTACAAATAGTATCTGCCTTATAGGACAGTATCTGCCTTCCTTATTTTTGGAAAACCTAAATGAAATATGCATATTAAACTTTTAAATCAATGCTTTGCTGCTTGGTATCCTGTAAACACCCAGTGAATGTGAATTTCTACTGTCTTATTAGCTCCAAAATTGGAGTAAACTTAATCCTTCATTCAAGATAGTTGCTATTAGACGTGGTCAGTGAAATTGGTGGGAGAGCTGGTCTATGGATTCCCTTGACCCCACTGAAGTAGCTCATAATAGAATGCATTTACTAAAATCCAACAAGGTAAATATAAGGTAAAACAATGGAACTCACAGCCTTAAAGAGTCCTGGCATGACCCAGAGGAAAAAAAAATGTTGATCTCCTCTCCCTCTGTCTGATGGTTTTCTCTGCCCTGCAGTTCACAGTGAAATACAAGGTTTTTAATTCCCATGCACATTTTCTAATCTTTCTCCCTTTCTGCTTATGCCTTTTAGGAATATTTTTGTCTTTTTAATATTCAAAACCAGAAAAGAATAACTGATATATAAAAGACAGGGAGGTCAAATAAGGAGAGATGCTAGTTGGCATGTCACTGTCAGTCACATGCTCAGTGCAAGGCACCTGTCTAGAGTTCCTGTGTCACCTCATTTGCCATGGCCACCTGCAGTGCTGTGATCAACAGTCTTTTAAAGCATAAGTACAATAAATAAAATACCAGCGATCCTTTACATCTTAAACTGGGGCATGAACGCTGATGAAGATTAATCAGCAAAAGGGCAAGATAGGGTCTTAGAAAGAGCATGGATTTTGGAGGCAGACAGCTGGATTTCAATCCTTTCTCTACCACTTTTCTTTTTCTTTTTCTTTTTTGAGATGGAGTCTCACTCCGTTGCCCAGGCTGGAGTGCAGTGGCGCAACCTCAGCTCACTGCAACCTCCACTTCCCGGGTTCAAGCGATTCTTCTGCCTCAGCCTCCCGAGCAGCTGAGACTACAGGCATGCACCACCATGCCTGGCTAATTTTGGTAATTTTAGTAGGGGGTGGGTTTCATCATATTGGCCAGGCTGATCTTGAACTCCTGACCTTGTGATCCATCCGGTTCGGCCTCCCAAAGTGCTGGGATTACAGGTGTGAGCCACTGCACCCGGCCCCATTTTTCTTAATTACTTTGAACATATTTACTTTCTTTGAACTTCATTTTCTGTGTCCATATAATGGACTTAACAGCATCACTCTTTAAGGGTTGTTGTGAATAGCATGGGTTTTAGCAACAAATAAGAGCTGTTCTTTCTTCTATGTGCAAGGGAAGTATCATGTGCAAGGGAAGTATCAGGTGCCATCTTTGGCAATCTTCTCATGTTCTCCTTGAATCTGAAAAGCATTGAAAGATAGTATCATGGCTACATATTTGTTGAGAGCTTAGAGATAAAAAGAGTTTAGAAATACTGTTGATTGTGTAAGTAAATGTTCCTCCCTGCCTCCAACCTTTCCCTCCTTGCTCCCTTCTTCCCTCCCTTCCTTCCTTCCTTTCTTTCCTTTCTTTTCCTTTCCCTTCCCTTCCCTTCCCTTCTCCTCCCTTCCCCTCCCCTCCCTTCCCCTCCCTTCCCCTCCCCTCCCCTCCCCTTCCCTTCCTTCCCCTCAATATGTTTCCCAAATAACAACCCTTAGTCAAAGAAGCTCATCTTTTTGCATGTTATTGATGCCATCATCAATGCCTCTAGGAAGCAACACTTACTTCTTTTATGTGTCTCCAGGTCTACCATGTAATTTTGTAGTTAAAATCTTCATTTCATCTATTGCTATTGGTTCTACATTCTTCATTTTATAGTAAAAGTATGATATCCTTCTATGACACAAGTCAAAGGCTCTTTTGATGTTGAACAAGTGGTTCGGGGGAAAAAGAATCTTAGCAGGAAAGACTCAGCCACTATATCATTGTGCATAATGATTAGGCTAAGCCATCTTATATAAAATCCATACTTAAAATCTTAACAGGTACCACTGTACACTGTTTAGAGTAAATAAATAAAAGGGTTTCAAATTTTATGTAGACTCTTAGTTTGGGAAGAGATTTGAGTGCAGTGGATCTATAATAATCATCCATTCCAAACCAGTCATTTAATCATGTGAACACTCACAGATACACATGTCTTGTTCATGGATAAGCTAATTAAAGACAGAGGTGGAAACAGCACTTGGGGCTTCAAAGTGGATCACACTGCCCAGGGCCTTGGGAGAGGTCAGTGAAAATGACACATGAACATAGTTTCAACCCCAATGTAACTCATACCTTCTCTTTAATAACTAGCTGGCAGACCCTCATTTATTTTTCAAGATTCTATTCAAATCCCCTTTCCTTTGGAAAGTTGTCCATGAACTTCCCAGAAGGGCTAAGTGATCCCTTCCTTTGTACCTCAAGTTCTTTTTTTTTTTTTCTTCTCTTTTTGAGAGGGAGTCTTGCTCTGTCACCCAGGCTGGAGTCAGTGGCACAATCTCAGCTCCCTGCAACCTCTGCCTCTTGAGTTCAAGCAATTCTCCTGCCTCAGCCTCCTGAGTAGTTGGGACTACAGGTGCGTGCCACCACACCCAACTAATTTTTGTATTTTTAGTAGAAACAGGGATTCACCATATTGGCCAGGCTGGTCTCGAACTCCTGACCTCACGATCCGCCTGCCTCAGCCTCCCAAAGTGCTGGGATTACAGGCATGAGCCACCGTGCCAGGCCCATACCTCAAGTTCTTTTATAGCTCTTGTTTCTCTGTGTTTCCAGACCAGTTCTTTTGGGTCTACTTTTCCAATGAGACCATTTATAGCTGAGGGCAGAAACTACGTGCCATTTATCTCTAAATCATCACCCTTAGCCTGGAGTCTGGCACATAATAACTGCTCAAATGGATATTTGTGGAGTGATAATGAACAAACTGTGCTTCTCACATATTTGGACCAGATGTGGAGTCACAGGGCTCACTTGTGAAGGAAAGCTGCTCATATCCCCTCCGCCCCTGACATTCCTGACGAATGATGTTCAGCCTAAATGTATGTCAAATGCTCTCCTGTCTTTCCAGGGCTGCACAGTTGCATTGCTTCTTTTTCTTTTCAGGAAGACTGGAGGGTTTTGTATGCGATGTTGGAGTCTCCAGAGTTTAGGAGGAGAGATATATATCATGGCTCTTATTCTGAGGCCTATAAGGAGTTTTATTTTCTGAATAAGTATTGATCGCAGCTTACAAAATACTGCAAACCCATATAATTAAAAATAATGAGACCAGTCATTTGTGGGCAGTGCATGGCTAAATATAAGAGAAGACAAATTCTTCAGGTGCCTGAGATTTTATAATTGTACTTGGTTGGGAAGCTTATTAAAGCCTTGCAGGTGCAATGTTTCCTCACAGAGTAGTGAACCTTTGAAAGATATGCATAATAAACAGAGTTTGAAATATGTTTTTATTCCAGGCCATATGGTCCTGTCTGGAGCTTTCCTGGATCTTTGGGTCAGTTCATTGTTGAAAGATGGGCTTGCAAGGACCCACCTCTCGGAGCAGCTGTCAGAGCCCTATCAGAACGAATCTGCTTTTGCATGATTATTTATTTTATGTGGCTCTCTGAAATGAGCCCAGCCCTGCTCAGTAGCTGAAATGTGCTGAGCAAAGTCTCTTCCCTGAACAGCTTGTGGCCATATCACCAAGCAGTGTCCTTCCTTGTCCTTAAAAAGCAGACTAGCGAGACTTGTACATTAGGTCAGGATGGACAGTCTGGGTGAGGTTTGCCCACCTGGGCTTGAACTTGGTGCCAGCAATATGAAAACTTACACGGTAGCATTTTAAAGAGGTGTCATTGCTCTTTCTTCTCAGCTGTACTAATTTTCCTATCTCTCTCAACTCTAGGCAATTACTGTGACAGCTGTCCATAAGTACTTGAGGTGTTTTTGTGGTGTAGTGGTGAGAACAATGCTAACACAGCCTCTCCTTTTGTAACAGAGGGTGGCATTGACTCCTCTGAGAATGTCTTTTAAGAGGCATTTAATATAATTTATTCAGTATTTATTGCACATATATATATATGTATATATACACAAATAGCAGTTATTGACAAGAGACTTGGTTTTGAAGTCCAGTGATCACAAGAAGATGTTCTGTTTCCTAACATAGAAAATGGGCAGTGAGTTGATCAGAATGGAAGAAGGTTAAATCTCATATCTCTTTATGGTTATTTGAAAAAGTTGAAGTTGAATTTTGTCATCTTGGTCAAGGGGAAAATCTTGCCGTTTTAGGAAGCGTCTTTCATCTACTCTTATACTGCTGACATTATATTCAATATCATATATATTTGTAGCCATTTGTTCATTTGGACTATATTCAGTAAGCACCTGTCCTTTACTAGCCACTGTGCTAAGACTTGAGAATGCAAGAGCCCCAGAATTCTTGCACTCCTGGAACTTAGAATCTGAAGTAGAAGACAGACATTGAAAATATAGTTAATTATGTCTTACATATGTTACAAAAAGAAAGTGAAAGATATTGAATGAATGTACATAGCAAGAAAACCTATGTGTGGTCTTTGGAGTCTACTTGCCTTAAAGGAAAAGTCTATGTCAAATTTCTTTCCTCCTATATAGGAGTCACTCTGCCTGAAACAATAAATTGTATATAGTACTAGATGCTTATTTTGGTCCATTTTCTGCTGTTATAACAGAATATCTCAGACTGGTTAATGTATAAAGAATAGAGACTTATTTCTTACAGTCCTGGTGGATGGGAAGTCCAAGATAGAGGACCTTCTTGCTATGTCATAACATGGCAGAAGCCATCATGTAGTGAGGGTTGGGGGGGAGAGAGAGAGAGAGAGAGAGAGAGAGAATGATATAAATATCTTCCATTAGGCCCCATCTCCCAATACTGAGGCATTCGGGATCAAGTTTCCAACAAATGCTTTTTGGGGAACATGTGGAAACCATAGCATTACTTAATAAAAATTTGTGGATATAATGGAGAATGAAAGTAAGAAGAAGAAAGTGTAAAGATTATTTTGTTAATTCAGGCTACAGTTTAATAAATTATAATTTGAAATACCTAAATTAGTTTTATGGTAAAACTACATATTTTTCTTTTGCCGCCACATTCAGTGTTGCCATTTTAAAATTTACCCATGGTAACTATTTTTCCATTTCTGGAGTCATAGAACCTAGAACTTAACTTCTTACTTGAGTACAGAAATATGAGACTCTGATATTTCTCTCCAGGGTATCAGCTACTTTCTTTTGGGGATATTCTTAGGTGTCTTTGGTTGGTAGAAATGAGCTATTTCTTTTTTTCTTTTTTTTCTTTTTTCTTTCTTTCTTTTTTTTCTTTTTTTTTTTTGAGATGGAGTCTCACTCTGTGGCCCATGCTGGAATGCAGTGGCTTGATCTCGGCTCACTGCAACCTCCACCTCCCGAGTTCAAGCAATTCTCCTGCCTCAGCCTCACGAGTAGCTGGGACTACAGGTGCATGCCACCACACCCAGCTAATTTTTAATTTTTTAGTAGAGATGGGGTTTCACCATGTTAGCCAGGCTGGTCTCGAGCTCCCGACCTCAGGTGATCCACCCGCCTTGGCCTCCCAAAGTGCTGGGATTACCGCAGTGAGCCACCGTGCCTGGCCAAAATGAACTATTTCTATATACAAGTAGATCAATATTCTTATGGACTAAAAAGTGGTAGCTATTTCAAAGTGTGTATCTTAGGCCTAGGGATAAAATCACATGATGGAAAATGTTTTCTTCCATCTGTACTATGGTAACCTAAGGGACTCCCAGGACCAGGGAGACACCATTCAAGTTTCAGGCTGTGCCCAGGAGAGTGTGGTGCTATTACCCCAGAATATCTGAAGCTTTCAGAGTTAACAGATCAAGAGGAAAACACTCAAGAGGACTGCCCAGAAATGCAGCCAAGGGCCAAATAGAGAGTTCTTGAGAAGCATTGGGAATCAGAGTTGGAAGTGTGGTAGCAGCCACTGAGACAGTGGAGGAGCTTTTAGGCAGTGTCATAAAGTAGAAGGACAGTGGTAAGCGATGGGGAATACTTGGTCTGAATGGATGGAGAGTTGAAATCATCAGGTTGGGACTGGAAGCAGAGGCTGGTTGTGATGGGAGACGGAGACTACCGGCAGTGGTAGTCCATCTTAATCCAGAGATTAAGATGCTGGATAAGGACTTGAAATCAATGGCCACCGAAGCCTTTGTTGTTCAGCCTGGAGATGCTGTGATTCCACCACCCAGATGGGAATAGTGAGACCAGAGTCCTATTAAAGTCATGTTAAGATGATCCCTCTTTGCTCCTTCCCTTTCTTCCTTCCTCTCTCCCTCCCTCCCTGCTTTCTTTCATTCCTTCTCCTCTCATATCTCTTTCCCTCCCTCTCCCACTTGTTCCTTCAGCAAGTGTTTACTTAGCCTCTACTATGTGCTACTTATTGTTCTCAGGGTGGGGTATATTAAAAAGAATAGATGAATATGATCTCTTTTTCTCATGAGCCTTTCCATCTTCTGGGGGAAAATAATACAACATGAGTAAATACATGAAGAAAACACTTTATTTTAATGGTAAGGGCCACAAAGAAAACGATACATGATGACATGAGAGAGAATGGGTTGGTTAGGAATAGAATTTTAAACTGGAGAGTTAGAAAAGACTAACTAAGGTTGAATTGGAACTAAGACCTTAATGGCAACAAAGGATCATAAAGTGATTGATCCAGAATGATCCAGGCAGATGGAAAAGCTAGTGTAAAGGCCATGAGATGGTCAAGAGCTGGCACATTCCAAGAAGAAAAAGGATCTCAGTGTCCCTGGAAAATGGCAAGTAGAGAGCAGTGCCTCATCATATAGGACTTTGAAGGTCATAGAAGGATTTTTGCTATTAGGGGTCTGGTGTTCCAGGTGCTTCTCCCACTTCCAACCACTTCATGCTCTCCACTTGGTCTAGCATTGTTCCTCCCATAGTGGCTTTGACTCTTGCTTGTCACTTCTAGTCCTTGTATTCTAGATTTGCAATCTTTCAATGTTATCCATATGGAAAGATCATGGGCTTTGGAGTCAGACAGCCTTTGGTTCTATCCTCAGATTCTCCTTGTATTGGCTGTGTGACTTCTGTAAAATCATATCCACAGAAAGCATCTCTTGTGATTTTATCAGCTTAAGGGTCTGGGGGTATTTCTGGCCCTCTTTCTCTGTCTCCCTTTTCCAGCCTGTCTTTAAAAGCTGGAATGCTGTAAGGCTTGTACCAAAGTCTTGTTTTCTTATTCTCTAAATTCTATTCAACATCCATGATTTCAATTACCATCTCCCCATCATTATCCAAAGTTTCCACCTCCATCTCGGACTCTACTTTGAGCTCTTTATCTGTTTATGCAATTACCTTTTCAGCTCTTTCTTTGGAGGTCAAAAAAGGTAACGTAAAGTCATCATAACCAAAGTTTGATTCATTATCTTCCCTGCCACTCCCCTAAAACTTATCTGTGTTCAATATTTTCTAATTCAGACATTGACAATATTCATTAAATTGTGCTAACTTTGCTTTCTTATCTCCTTCTGCACTGATAGTCAGTGAATTGCTGAATCTTGTTGATTTTTATCTGAATATCTCCTCTGTTGAATCCATCTGGTTTGCTCCATCTTCACTTAAGCCACCCAAGACCAACCTCTCATCATCTCCGTTGTGATTTACTGTAATCACTCCTAAATGCTCTCTTTGATTCCATTCTTGCTACACTCAAATCTGTTTTCCACAGAGGTCACAGTAATCTTTTAAAAATACAAATTAGCTAAAGTAACTCCCCTGCTTAAAACCCTTCGATTTTTGTTGTTGTTGTTGTTGCTGTTGGGATAAAGATCAAAATTTTTAAAATCTTTAAAGGGAGCTGAATGTCTCAGGCACTACTTTGCGACTTTCTCCCCATAAATTTTTTATAATATATCCTGCTGAACTGTCTTTTTTAAGTTCCTTAAATGTGTTGTGACCCCTTCCCATAGCTGAGCTTTCAGATATGCTATTTTGTTTTCTTGGATTGCTCTTGTCGTTCTTCATCTAGTGCTGTAGACATCTGTCATGTTTTCGGCTGTCTAGCGTTTGTTGAACACATTGGTTACATTTGAAAGATATCCAGCATTATGAGTTTTGTCTAGCCAAGGTAGAGAGTGAGATTCCCCAGGTTTCTCTGGAGCAAGGGAACAGACATGTGTCCCACCAGTCAGACTCATCTGTGTGTGAATTTAATTCAAGGGGAACAGCTTGACAAAGGCAAAACCTATTGTGCTGGTAAGGATGGCAGAAGAGACATCCAGCTTTTGAGAATGATAGTCCTTGTAAGGTCTAGTTTCTGGTACAGAAGTTGCCAAGATGTTGGTGTCTGCTAGGATTGCAAGAAAGTTGGATGTGGGGAGCCACATGAACTGCAGAAGCTCACGCTCATTGGGTCATTAGCAGTTGAGGCAGTTTCTTTCTTTTTTTTTCTTTGAGATGGAGTCTTAGTCTGTCGCCCAGGCTGGAGTGCAGTGACGTGATCTCGGCTCACTGCAAGCTCTGCCTCCTGGGCTCAAGCAATTCTCCTGCCTCAACCTCCCAAGTAGCTGGGACTATAGGTGCCTGCCACCACTCCCGGCTAATTTTTTGTGTTTTTAGTAGAGATGGGGTTTCACGCTGTTAGCCAGGATGGTCTTGATCTCCTGACCTCATGATCCGCCTGCCTCAGCCTCCCAAAGTGCTGGGATTACAGGAGTGAGCCACCGCACCTGGCCCAAGGCTGTTTCTTTAACCAACTAGTTCTGTGGTGTGCTTCTGAGCACTGTTCCTGAGAGCTTTATTTGAGCTTGTTTTTTCAGCCCAACACTTTCTATGCTTCAATAGCCAACTTCAGCTTCTGTTGCTTACAACCGAGAAAGAGCCCTGCTGGTTAGTGCTAGGTAATCCAACTCATTTGTGGGCACTCAGCTCTAGTTTACTCCAGGAAACTGTTCCATTAGCCTTATTCTGCCACTTTTGCTGATTAAGGCAGATCTTCCACTCTCGTGTGCTGTCAAGACTCAGTATGGCATGATGGCTTCACCTGCTGCTGCTGTTGTTACTCTGCCTGGGTTTCTATGTCAACTCTCCTACTTGCTTGATGTATGAATTTTGCAAAGGTTACCTAACCGCTCTGTGTATCAATTCCTTTACCTATAAAATAGCGACACTGATAATAACTATCTAACTCATAGGTTGATTGTAAAGACTAAATGGATGAATGCATACATGAAATCCTTAAAGTGGTAACTAAATGTTCAATAATTGTTAACTAAAATGTTCTCACATTACCCACTTCTTTCTTTTCACACTACTTTTCACAGACAGTAATTTGATACTCACAGAGTGATAATTTGATTTAGATATACCTTCCACATAAGCTGTAAATGAAGGGCTGCTTATTTTGTTCATCATTGTATTCGCAGTTCCTAGCACAACGTATATTTACTTAATGGATGTAGGATGGATGTTGCAGGATCCCAAAAACCTTGAGTGATGCCATCTCCATCTCCCAGCACACTAAAGCAGGGGAGCTTCAGCAGTATCCAGTGTTCCTGGCAGAATCACCCCGAGCTCCTTGTTTTTGCTGATTATTTCTTGTGACCCACAACTGACCCGTTCTCACAGAGCACAAACCCTGTCCCAGATGCTGAACTTGCCCTCTATGCCCTGATTTCTCTGCTTCTCAGCACCGATCATTTTGTGCTGACTCTATACCCTCTGAAAGCTGTTTGAAGCCAGATGGGAGAAAGAGATAAAACAGATTTCATTCATTGCCCTCCCAGACTCTGAGGGAAATAAAAACAATAGCAACAACGAGGTAGTTTATATTGGGTGTTTACTAGGCATTATTCATTATTTAATACGCACCACAATCCTATGAAAATGATACTATAACCCCATTTTGCAGAAGAGGAAAGTAAGTCCCAGAGGAGAAAAACAAAAGAAAGAAAGGAAAGTAGAGAGAAAGGGAGGGAACGGGGTAAGGAAGGCAGCTTTTCCAATAGAAGAGAAATTCCCTTGCTGAGAAGAAATTTCATTCCCATAAAAGAAACTTCTCTACTGGAGGATAAGATACTGTAAAAATAATATTGATAGAGAAGTTATAGAAGATGACCCAGAACATGAACCTAGCCTCAGATCAGCTTTAACATTTAGATTTTTAAAATATAATTCCTTTCAACTACTTGCTATTTGCAGCCTTTTCTCTCCAAAGTCTAATGTAAGTAGTAGGAATAATACTGATAATTAAGAAATCTGTGCAGTTTTTTTCTGGTTAATTGGCATTTTCCTATAAAATATTTAAAAATTAGCTTTTGGTTTTCAAAGACTCTCTTTTCAGAAAGTCATAGTTTTTGCTATTAAGAGTTCCCGTCTGCAGGTGGGGCTTCCTGCACTGGGATTATTTGGGCATTTTCACAGATGTTGTCCAGCCACTGATATTCAGCTGGAGTTGGAGTGGGGGGCTTATGATGCATTTTCTATGTTTAGATCTTCCTGATGTTGTTTTATTTTTTTTTCCAATGAAAAGAGAAAACAGCCAACATGCCAGTTTTCTTGTAAAAACTGTTATCCAGCTAGAGATGCCCTCCAATTGTAATGCTCTTGTGCATTTCAACCAAACTCAAAGAAACACATTTTCAAAGTGAGTGTGGGTGCAATTGCCAGAAAATTGGCTTCAAGCTGGGTCCCCGGAAGGCTTTCTTTCTCCAGCTTTGACAGGCCTTGAGAGAGGTTCTCATAAGACCCCAGGAAGATCAGGTGGGTGGTTTGGGACTCAGAGCCCAGTTGGCAACCACTCTAAAAGAGCATGGTGCATTAGTTTCCCGTGGCTGCTGTGAGAAATTACCACAAACCTGGTGGCTTTAAACAACAGAAATTTATTCTCTCACAGTTGTGGAGGCCAGAAGTCTAAAATTAAGGTGTCAGCAGGACCGGTTCCTTTTGGAGGCTCTAAGGGAGAATTTACTCCATGCTTCTATACTGGCTTCTGGTGGCTGCTGGCAACCCTTGGTGTTCCTTGGCTTGCAGATGTATCACTCCAATCTCTGCCTCTGTCTCCACGTTGTCTTCTTTCCTGCGTGTCTTTGCCCTTTCTCTTATCTTCTGAGGACACTTGCCATTGGATTTAGGGCACACTGTCTTCCAGGATGATCTCATCTTGAGATCCTTAATTTAATTACATTCTCAAAGACCCTTTTCCCAAATAAGGCCACATTCACAAGTTTTGGGTAGACAGACTTATCCTTTGCAGGGGCCACCATTAATCCACACACATGGTGAACTGAGAGAACTTTCCTGATCCACTGGGGATGAAGCTGGATTTCAGCTAAGCAGTGGGCTAAAAAGGCATTTGGCCCTGCTGAGCCAAAGCATCTTCTTAGTTTCTCAGTGATCGCCATACATTTCTGAAAGGAGATACGGCATTTTTCAGCAGAGGCTAACTTCTCGCTATGTCCTCACATGGTCTTTCCTCTGTCCATGTGCCTTCCTGGTGTTTATTTTACCTTGGGTTCGGCCTTCCTTATTATTTCATTTACTCTTTTTAACATCACTAGGAGTAGATAATAGTGTCTCCATTGTATTCATGAGAAATGAGAGGCTCCTTCCAGCTAGCAACTGGTGCAGCTGGGATTAAAATGTAAGCCTGTAGAGGTTCCCTTTCCAAACATGTCACCTCAGTGTTTCTGGGTTCCTAACCTTGAAGATATTTCAGGCTTGTCTGTTTTCCTTAAGCATGGTAAATGTGGTTGTTGTACAGTCTGTATGACAGTTCTAATAACTAAGTGCTTTGTGGATTTGTTTCTGTTGTCTGTTGATTGTGGTTATTTATTTTTCTTTATGTCATAATTTTCCATGTCTTTCTGGTTATATATGATTATGTGCTGATGATTATACTTAAAATATTGTAATAACTATTGGAGTTTTAGAATATACAGATCACTCTTTTCAAAAATAACTTGAATGTCCATCTGCCAGGTACTTGGGGGTACTACCAGTATGCCATCACCTCAAACCAAGATCCAGACTTTACACTTGTTGAACCACCGGGGATTAAACTCAAGACTTTCCAATGACTAGTTTGTCTCTGGCACTCTCTCACCATTACACGGAGTGTTTTATCTTTTGAGTGTGTAGTCTTCTCTGGGTGGGGTCTCATACTAGACTTCCCACCTGCTATGACTCTGAGTTTTGACATCTAGCTTTACCCCAGGAAACAGAAAAAGATTTAGATTTTCTAAGATTGGAACATGCCATCAGGCAAAAGTAGCTCTCATGTCTACCAACCTCAAATTCCACTTTCAAATTTGACTTGTTAATTCTCTACTAACTTGTCAGATTTCCATTGTTTTGAAGATTTATTTTTAAAAACTATATTCAGCCTTCTTTACTTACTTTCCTTAGGAAGGTTTCCTTGAATATTATAGCTTGCCATTAGCTAAACAGAAAAATCTAGAGGCCTATATATTTTTTCTCCCTGCTCATTCCTGGCACTTTACTCCTCTCTTTTTTTTCCTTTGTGAGGCGGCTGCTTTTTGCACTGTCCTGAATTTTTCCATTGATTCTTGACATGGCAGCTTGGGTCTATGGATGAGTGGTTTTTTTTTGATAGCTTGATAGTTTTGTCACATCCACAGGTATCTTATATATAAGTCCTAGACCATCGTGAAAACAAAGACTACCTCTGTTTATAAATTGTGGAAAAATAAATTCCATTGATGCTGAGCTTCCAATTTCTAGAGTTTTGTAATGTGACAAACACAAGCATAATTAGGATGTTTCATAAACCAGCAACTTAAAAAGATTCTGCCCCTTGTCATAAAATAATGAGTTTCTAAAATAATGTCTCTATGTATATGAGTATGCACACACGTGTAGTGAAGAATTAAATTTTGTCCAAAGAGCGGTTTGGTTTTTGCACTCAGCTTCTAAGAGGCAATCTATATCATAATTGAAAAAAATCTCTTTGTTTAGGTTGGGAGCTCATCACATCAGGAAGACCAATCACATTTAATGTGGGGGCTTTAGGTTCCTGGCATCAGTTAACCAGGAAACTGAGTTAATCCACTTGGGCAATCAATTGATCAATCATGCCTCTATAATAAAGCCCTTGTGATGGTTAATACTGAGTGTCAACTTGATTGAATTGAAAAATGCAACATTGATCCTTGGTGTGTCTGTGAGGGTGTTGCCAAAGGAGATTAACATTTGAGTCAGTGGGCTGGGGAAGGCAGACCCACCTTTAATTGGGTGGGCACCATCTAATCAGCTGCCAGTGAGTATAAAGCAAGCAGAAATTGGGTGGGCACCATCTAATCAGCTGCCAGTGAATACAAAGCAAGCAGAAAAACATGAAGAGACAAGACAGGCCTAGCCTCCCAGCCTACGTCTCTCTCCCATGTTGGATGCTTCCTGCCCTCAAACATTGGACTCCAAGTTCTTCAGTTTTGGGACTCAGACTGGCTCTCCTTGCTCCTCAGCCTGCAGACAGCCTATTGTGGGACCTTGTGATCATGTAAGTTAATACTTTATATATAAAGCGTAGTTTATATACATATATATCCTATATACATAATATATCCTATTAGTTCTGTCCCTCTAAGAGAACCCTAATACAGCCCCCAATAAAAACTCTGTACACTAAAACTCAGGTGTGCTTTCCTAGTTGGCAATTCTCTATGTGTATTGTGCACGTTAATACCAGGAAGACAATGCATTTGACTCCCAGGGGAGTCATATGGAAACTTCATGTTTGGAACCCCTCAGGTCCTGTGCTATGCATTTATTTCTTTAGCCAATCTCTATCTCTTCCTGTAATAAATCAGAACTGTGACTATAACAGTTTTCTGTGAATTTTGTGAGTCTTTTTAGCAAATTACCAAAACTGAAGGTTTGGCAAACCCTTGATCTTGTGGTTGGTGTCACAGTGAGGACAGTCTTATGGTTGATGTTATGCCCTCAACCTTTTCAGTCTGGCTAACTGGGCAGTGCATTTATGTGTGCATGTGTGTGTGAGAGAGTGTGTGTGTGTGCGTGTGTGCGCGCATGTGTAGAGTACAACACTAGCATAGGGTTTTTTTTTTTTTTGGCAGAGTGTCACTCTGTCACCCAGGCTAGAGTGCAGTGGTGCGATCTTGTCTCACTGCAACCTCTGCCTCCTGGGTTCAAGAAAGTCTTCTGCCTCAGCCTCCCATGTAGATGGGACTACAGGCACATGCCACCATGCCTGGCTAATTTTTGTATTTTTAGTAGAGATGGTTTTTCACCATGTTGGCCAGGCTGGTCTCGAACTCCTGACCTCAGGTGATCTGCCGCCCGTTTTGGCCTCCCAAAGTGCTAGGATTACAGGTGTGAGCCACCGTGCCTAGCCTGCATAGGGTATTTATAATTAGAACAGCCCGAAAGAAGCTATAACATATTAGCAAGGCTTAGATACTTCTCTTACACTTTTATTTCCAACCTGCTTACTGTGAGACGTTTTCCACTGATCTTGTAGTCCAAACCCATACCCTGACTTTGTGATGCATGTCATTTTTATCCTAGTGTGCTCCATACTCACCCAAAGCTCCTGTGTTTATTTTGACTCCAACTCTGGAAACAGAAAGTGAACTCATAGAAGTGTTTTTTTTCCCCCTGGCAAGATTTAAGACCTCATAAATCATGGTGGCAAGAAATGTAATGATGGTCTCTTTTGGTTCTTGAGGAGATTGGAAGAGGAGAGGCATGCAGGTTCCAGTGTGGTTTTGTAATTTTTCCCAGTGGTGGCAAGTGAGGAAGATTCCAGCAGGCTAGTTCCTCAGTCTTAACTAAGTAATTCTCTACTTCAATGTTCCTGCAATGAAAATGCACAGACATTCACCAGTGTCACTCGGGCAGTTTAGTGCCTGCTGCAGAACTCCTGGCAGTTAACAATGAAATTGTCAAGATTTCCTTTTTGTTCCCTTCCAAGCAGGCAAGGCATCGTTTTTGTCCAGTGGTTTAGCACATGAATCAATCCTTTTATATGTGATCAGTGGGACCATGTGTGTTTTCAGAAACTGTCTGGCTTTATACCTGGCAGGGTTTCTTGTTGGGCAGTGGTTCTGCAAATGAGAAAGAAAATATGCAAATTCTCACATGTCCCCAGGTTGAATTACAAGGCAAAAGAGACTATTGCTTTCTGGCCTGGTATTTGGCTTTGAGATAAATATATATATATATATATATATATATATATATATATATATATATATATATTTTTTTTTTTTTTTTTTTTTTTTTTTTTTTTTGAGTTAGAGTCTCACTCTGTTGCCCAGACTGGAGTGCAGTGGCATGATGTCGGCTCACTGCAACCTCTGCCTCCCAGGTAAAAGTGATTCTCCTGCTTCAGCCTCTCAAGTAGCTGGGACTACAGGTGCCCGCCACCACGCCCAGCTAATTTTTGTAATTTTGGTAGAGATAGGGTTTCACCATGTTGGCCAGGCTGGTCCCAAACTCCTGACCTCAGGTGATCCAGCCACCTCGGCCTCCCAAAGTGCTGGGATTAAAGGCATGAGTCACCACGCCTGGCCAGACCATTTTGATTCTTAGAGATATGCCATCCAGTACTTAAACTGGGTTCTTAAAAAAATAAATTATATAAAACATTGATATTTCCAGATTATAACTGACATAGCAAATGTGGACAGGTAGGAGAAAAAGGGATATCTAGTAATGCTTTTATTCATGCACAGCTTAATGTGCTTATTGCTATATTTCTTATTTCTCAACAATATTTATTTAAAAAGAGCTAATATGTAAATCTGTACAACCACTATGGAGTACAGTGTGGAGGTTCCTCAAAAAACTAAGAATAGAGCTACCATCCAGCCATCCCACTGCTGGGTATGTACCCCAAAGAAAGGAAATCAGTGTATTGAAGGAATATCTGCATGGCCATGTTTGTTACAGCACTGTTCACAATAGCCAAGATTTGGAAGCAACCTAAGTGTTCATCAATCAATGAATAGATAAAGAAAATGTGGTACATATACACAATGGAGTACTATTTGGCCATAAAAAAGAGTGAGATCCAGTTATTTGCAACAACATGGATGGAACTGAAGGACATTATGTTAAGTGAAATAAGCCAGGCATAGAAAGACAAACTTCACATGTTCTCACTTATTTGTGGGAGCTAAAATTTAAAACAATTGAACTCATGGAGATAGAGAGTAAAATGTTAGTTACCAGAAGCTGGGAAGGGTAGTGGAGGGTTTGTAGGAGGGGGCAAAGTGGGAATGGTTAATGGTTATAAAAAATAGAGAGAATGAATAAAACCTAGTATTTGATAGCACAACAGGGTGACTACAGTCAATAATAATATAATTGTACATTAAAAAATAATTAAAAGTATAATTGGATTGTTTACAACACAAAGGATAATGCTTAAGGGGATGGATACATGAGATACTTCGATATAGACATGCAATGTGTAATAATAACATCATGATAAATCACATCAGTTACCGTGTGGTCGTGGTTGGTGTCACAGTGAGGACAGCCTTATGGTTGACACTGTACCCCGTGCCATTTACCATGATGTGGTTATTACACATTGCATGGCTATATCAAAATATCTCAGGTACCCCATAAATATATACACCTACTATGCACTCACAAAAATTGAAAATTAAAAAAAAATTAAAGGAGTCAATCCAGCTTGGCTTAATTCCTGCCTCAAGGCTATTTATAAAAAACTCTCTAAGCAAAGCAGATCTTACGCCTCCAGGCACAAATGTTGAGGGGGTTATACGTTAGACTGTTGGGGGCTTTTTGTCTACGGAATATCCATAGAAAAAAATTCCAAGAATGTTTGGAGAGCAACGCATGTGTAGTGGAATATAGATATAGTGCTTTTAAGAGACCTGAAATACAAAATGGACACCAATGAAAAAATTAAAGGTTAGGTATTATTTTGCTGAATATTTAGAGGAGTCATTTTGGTTGAAAGCAATCTCTGAAACAATTAAAATATGATTTAGTATATGAATGTTTATTCTCACCTAGCTTATTTAGACATATATCCACCTTATAAAGCAACTGGCCTTTTCATTTAATTTCTCTACTGAGAAATGGATATTTGGTGTTTTAGGAAGTGCATCCCATAGGTTGGGTTTATTTATTCTGGTTTTAAAAAAGAAAATGCGCAATGCAAGGACTCACAAGACCTCAGAGTTTTGCCAAGCTTAAAATGCTAAGAAAATGTAAGCTAAATTCCCTGAATAAAGTGATGGAAATCAGTGTGAAACTATGTGGAGAATAGTTATATGTGTTGAATCTACATTTTGATGTCTTAACATGGAGTCTGTGGATGGGCTTCTGGGCATCCACAAATAAAATCATACCAAATATTTATGAATGTATACACTTAGTGGAGAGATGCTCCATTGCTTTGGCTCTTAAAGGGCTTAAGCACCATTTTGAGTTTAGATATGGGGCAAAGAGGATGTGCTATGGATGGAAAGTTTTGTCCCCTCCAACCCCGCACAAATTCATATTGACACCTTAGCTCCCGGTATCCCAAAGGTGGGGCCTTTGGGTGGTGATTAAGTCATGTGGATGGAGCCCCCATAAATGGAATATGTGCCCTTATAAGTAGAGTATGAGAGCGCTCCCTGGCCCCTTCTGCCATATGAGGACACAGCAAGAAGACACTCATCTGTGAACAGGATACAGTCCCACACAAGACAGCAAATCTGTTGCCACCTTGATCTTGGACTTCCCAGCCTTCAGAACTGTGAGAAATAAATTTTTTCTTTTTATAAGCCACCCAGTGTATGGTGTGCTGTTATAGCCACCCTATCAGACTAAGAGAGGATGCCATAGCATTTCTGTACTCCCTCGGTCTAGGATATAGTCATGGCTGAAGCTGCGTGCTGACCCTTGACTCTTTTCATTTTGGAGGCTCTGTCTCCAGAATTATAAGACATGTCTCAGTTTGACCATGGGGACAGCAGGTAAGCTCTGAGGCTTCCTCAGGCATGCTACTGTTATCTCTTCCAATTTTCTAGTGGACTTTCTGGAATACCTGGAGGCTGTACTTACAAACGGAACAGTGTCTTTACTGAATATCCTTCTAGGTACCAGAGAGGAACTTGTGTGTGTATCTTTGTGCCTAAAAAGTGATAGGTACTGAAAAATTGTTCATTGAGTAAATGAATGAAGTAAATTCGAAATGAATGAATTGCCGAATAATTAGAATAATATATAACAACTTATTGAATTAAGCCCCTGCTTGATTCAAGCAGAAAACTGGAAAAGGGGATTTTTAAAATAGACAAATAAAAGTTGGATATATTTAAGGTGTACAGCATGATGCTTTGATATATGTACAGCATTGTAGAATGGCTAAATCAAGCGAATTAGAATGCATTACCTTACATACTTATCTCTTTTTTGTGGAAAAGGGGGATAGAGAACAGGTTTTGTCTTCTCCCACTGTGATCTCCTGCAGAGAAGGAGAAAGAGACCCAGACTGCTCATCAGTGATTTTGTCTGTGTTCTCATCAGGCCTTCCCAGAAATGATAATTTTCTTTTTTTTTAAATTTCAGCTATCCAACTTGATAAAGTCAATCTTCAAGTATATTGTGCATGGTCTCTTCTGGATAACTTTGAGTGGAACCAGGGATACAGCAGCCGGTTTGGTCTCTTCCACGTTGATTTTGAAGACCCAGCTAGACCCCGAGTCCCTTACACATCGGCCAAGGAATATGCCAAGATCATCCGAAACAATGGCCTTGAAGCACATCTGTAGGCAAGATGGCTGAGAAATACAGGAGAGGCGTCTGCTTTTGGAAAGGAAATCTGCTTTGGTGATGATCTTTCAGGCAATCTCAACTTACTTCTTTAATCAACATTTAATATCAATGGATCTGTGATTAAATGTCTGAATATGTAATGCCTCGTGAAGTATTTAATAATGGCCTTTATTTGTATTTGGATCAATGAGGTTTTTAAAAAAAATGGAAGAGAAAACCACTAACCTTGATTTTTGTATTGCAAAATCAGATAGACCTGGAAACATAAATTTAAATCCTTAGACATTTTTCTAGAAAAAAATGCAAAGTTTATAAAGATGATACAACCATGATTTGCAACTGTAACAGGAGACCATTTATTATAAGCGTACCTGTTTGTGAACTTAATTATTCTGATTCCATAAGCTGTTTTTGCTTAGGTGATCCACTGCCATGTGATCCATAATTTTTCTACATAAAAAATCAAAGTTAAAAGTCACATTATACAGTTATGCATTCATTTCAACAAAATAGTGAATTGATAATCTACTTGTTAATATATTCGGCCCATATTTTGTGTGTTTGGACAAGTACATCTCCCTTTTGCCTAATGAACTTTTGAAAAATAATAAAATAATAGAATAAATTAGACTTTGAATGGCAGAAAAAGTATTTGAGTGTTGATGTTCAGTAAAAAACAGATTCCTAATTTGGCAGAGTGGTGCCAAATTAAAAGCTAAGTGATAAGCAGGGCATAATTTCCACTTTTGAATGTTTCTTTAAAGTTTAGAACCTTAAGAACCTCATGAAAAAAATACATGAAGTGAATGACCAACCTCAGTGTAAGCAAAGGTGGGGTGGGGATTTATTACCCCGGTAGTTGAAATGTCTGAGATTGGTATGGGGTTGACTGGAATTGGACATTTTACTGAACTTCCTAAGGTAGGGGTCAGGAGTAGAGGCAGGGCTCCTTCTGGCCTCCATGTCTCCCCTCCAGCAAACCCTTCACGTATGTGGAGTTTGGTCTTTCACATCCATATTTCAGTAGACTTCAGTAAGCACCTAGTTACCCATTAGACTTGAAGCTAAGAGGTTTAACTATGATCATCCCCATTTTGCAGACTGAGAAACTGAGGCCATACTGTTGTGCATCTTTCTCAAGCCATTTGGGTTCTGATTAACTGGACTTGGCACTTCCCTTGGCATCAGCCCTATTCTCACATGATGGCAAACTGTAGTTTGAGGTACCATGGAAGTCTTCTCTGCATTTTCTGAAGACAGGAACAAAGAAATAGAGGTGTGGAGTTGCCTTATGCAGGAGGAAGGGAAAATGGTTTTTTGCATGCAGCCCCTGCTTCCCTGAGGAAACTGCACATGCTTTTGGCATTCTTGTAAGGCTTTTGGCCCTGAGCAGATGCTCTGTCATTTTTTTTCTTTTATAAACTGTGGTCAATTTCTGGATCGTTTTCATGTTCATAATCAGGGAATTATTTACAGCAAAGAAACACACTCTCAGTAACTTTGGACAGAGTGAGAAAGAAATGGTTGTAGTAGTTCAATAAATGTGGATGCACTGGGGAAAATTATATTAAGATTAAAATGGTATACAGAGGAAATTCTATTACATCTTTGCCACTGGTTTGTTATTTTTATTGTTCAGTGAGACATTATCTCACAATTTGTGTTCATTTAAGAAGCACATTTCCGAATCTTATTTCATTCCTTTCCTATCCAGCCTGTCTTTTTCATTTTTACCATGTATCTTATTTACAATTTATGTGCCCTTTTGTATTATCTTGCAAGACAACTGAGTTTTCCTTTTAATTAGGATGTTGCTTCGAATATTACTTATCCTACAGGGCATATTTACAAGTTTTACAACAATACAAATGAGCACTGTATTTTTGTTACCAAAACCAAAAAAATTAGTATTCACACTGTAAATAAGACGATCTGTCATGTTTGGTCTACCAGGTGAAATAAAGATTCTAGCTGCTGGCGCCCAAGCTTACTTACAGTGCTGTGGCCTTCTGCAGTTCTTTGCTGGATTTTAAAGCCCAGCTCTTTATCCTAGAGATGGATCATACAAAGGGTGCTTCCCTAATTGGTCATGTAAATTAGTATTGCCACAAGGTTAAGATGAAGGAAAAAAAAATAACTCACCATCTAAAAACCTAACAGCCCTGCAGTATTTCAATTAATGTTATTTTTAATTACTTACATTAGCATTTGAGAACAAGACTGATTGGCTTTTGCCTGTTAAGGAAACAGAATGAAAATTCTTTAAATAGAAAAACAAGTTGTTAATTATACTTAAAAATCCACAGATACTGTACTTAGATGTCTTGAAGGTCATCTGAGACTTGTAAAGCACATGTTTTATGTCTGTTTTATCTAAGGAGAAACCTAGGTATCACAATGATGAATTGGATCTATTTGTATTTCCTTCTCTGTTATTTTCCTCCTTTCTTTTTTAGAAGAGTATGAACACATGTTATTTACATTCTATGAATCACTTTTAAGAAATTTTTTTGACAGGTTTTATTTTAGGGCAAGTCATTTCTGAATTTCTAAAAACATATATAAAATAACAGTAGGCCAGTTTCATTTTAGATGTGTAGGGTTTTAGTTTTGCAACTCCTGGTTATATCAGGAATTATACTAGGAACACCAGGAGGAATTGTCTACCTAAGCCCTTTATCGAATGAGAAGGTAGAAGTTCTCATTAAGAAACCCATAAACTCAGAAGCTGGCAACCTTGGTATTTGGCAGTGGGATGCCAGTCAGGTTTTCGTGTTCTGGGAATTTGTGTTTGGCCTGTAGCTTTTAATTATTTTTATGAACTAGGGAATAATGAATACATTTGTAATATATTGAAAAAAACCCTCCAACACTGGCTGACCAAAAAATAGATTTATATGATAATTCTTAAACACCAATTCTATTACTCAATGCTAGGCAGAATGAAAATAGAATACTGAACCTTATTACTGAGAGAGCAGAGTATAATCAAAGCTGGTAGAATTAATACTGTTTAATTATTAGCAATACGCCTCACCCGGAGAACACATATTCATCACTAATCAGAATATTTTAGGCTCTTGTCTGAGGGGAGGGACATAGTAGAGAGTACAAAGCATGATGAGCCCTAAAGAATGAAATTAGGAAAAATGTGACATAGAGACATTTGATGATGGTCTTTCATAATATGGGTTATGGTGATGTGAAAGGAGAATAAACCTTATTAACTGTGGCAGTAGGTAAGATGGGGAGGTGGGGGTTGAAGTGCCAAGGTAGGGCCGGCCATAGGAAAGAACAACCCCCAACTATGTGAGTTGCTGAGAGTGTCTCGAAGAGAGTAGTAGACAAGGCCTGTGATCCCAGGCTTTCCCAGTGTCTGAATGTGATACCTGAGCAATGACTGACCTAGATGACCTTGCCGGAGTGGCTATTTGTATCTGGTATCAGGCAAATGTAATGCATCATTAAGAGTGTGGGTTCCTGAGCCAACTCACCTGGATTCAAATCCTGGCTCCGATGTTTATTATCCAAGTGACATTAAGTAACTTACTCAAGTTTCCCATGCTTCAGTTTCCCTATCTGTAAAATGGAGATAAACTTCCTTATAAGACTGTTGTGAGAGTTAGTTAAGCTGATATATATAACATGTTTATATCCTGAAGCATGGTAAAGGCACAGTTAGTGTCGAGCTATTATTTTAAACTCTCAAACTTGTCCACACTGAGCCCCCAGCAATTCATCAATTATAGTTTGGCTTTTCCTGTTATGGGACCATCTCTGCTTCCCACAGAAGTATCTGTTTATGAGTCTCTGTCCTGGTAAGTTGGGATTCATGTTTTGCCTGTCCGTGTCTAATTCTGGTGTCAGTGGTTTTTCCTATGACCTTAATTCTCTGATGACTCTAAAAATATATGTTAATTTTCTGTTTGGCTGTTTTGCTTGTGTTAGGATGGGAGTGACAAGTTCTGAGCTCCTTAAATGATGGGAGTGACAACTTCCAAGCTCCTTAAGTGCTGGACTGGACACCCAGAGATCACATTATTTATATCATTAGAGTTGAAGGTGTCCGGCTGCTCAATCAGTACGTATTGATTAAACTAAACTGTGCAATACTTTATAGAGATGCAATACTGCAGACAAGACAGTTCTCCAAAGAAGTTCATGAACTGGTTGGGGAACTAGGATAGAGACTAAAATGATAGCAAACAATGCTGGGTGAATTTTTAGAGAATCAGAGTTGTACAGCTATGTGTCACGTAACAACGTTTAGGTCAATGACAAACCACATACACGATGCTGGTCCCATAAAATTATAATAGAGCTGAAAAATCTCTATCACCTTGTGACATCGTAGCCATCATGAAATCTTAGCATAATGCGTTGTGCTAAGATGTGTTTGTGGTGATGCTGGTGTAAACAAACCTACTGTGGTACCAGTTGCATAAAAGTCTAGGATATATGAGTGTGTGTGATACACAGTATTTGATAATGATCATAGATTGATACTGTTTTATGTGTTTACTATACTTTTAATCATTCTTTTAAAGTGTTCTCATTCTACTAATGAAAAAAAGTTAACTGTATAATAGCCTCAGGCGGATTCTGCAGGAGGTCTTCCAGAAGAAGGGGTTGTTATCATAGGAGAAGACAGCTCCATGCCTGTTAGGGCCCCTGAAAACCTTCCAGTGGGACAAGGTGTGGAGGTAGAAGACTGATATTGATGATCCTGACCCTGTGTAGACCTAGGACAATGAGTGTGTTTATGTCATAATTTTTAACAAAAAAGTTTAAAAAGTAAAGTAAAATAAAAATAGAAAAAAGCTTAAAGAAAAAGGATATAAAAATATTTTTGCACATCTGTAAAATGTGTTTGTGTTTTAAGCTATGTTATTACAAAAGAGTCAAAAATTAAGGAAATTAAAAGTTTATAAAGTAAGAACATTATTTTAAGCTAAGATTAATTTATTATTGAAGAAAGAAAATTTCTTTTTATAAATTTAGTATAACCTAAGTATACAGTGTTTGTAAAGTCTTCGTGTACAGTAACGTCCTAGGCCTTCACATTCACTCACTACTCACTCACTGGCTCACCCAGAGCAACTTCCAGTCTCAAAAGCTCTATTCATGGTAAGTGCCCTACCGTTTTTTACCTTTTAAAAAAACTTTTATACTGTATTTTTCCCATATCTTTTCAGTGCTTAGATATGTTTAGCTACACAAAACTTGGTCTTGTGCTACAATTGCCTACAGTGTTCAGTACAGTCACATGCTGTACGGGTTTGTAGTCTAGGAGCAATTGGCTCCCCCACATAGCCTAGGTGTGTAGTAGGCTACACCACCTAAATCTGCGTAAGTGCACTCTACGATGTTTGCACAATGATGACATTGCCTAACAATGCGTTTCGCAGAACGTATCCCTGTCATTAAGGGATGCATGACTATGTATAAGCAGAGGAGAGTGAGGTGGGTGGGGATGGCTTTCATGTGCAAGGGAAAATAATACAATTAAAAAATAACCTGAGTGATAATACAAATAATATAGGTAAAAATATGGAAGTAGAAAGCATAAAGCCTGTGGGCTGTTGGGGGCAGTGCTCAGGCCAGCTCACCTCAGGGAAGAGAGCAGGCAGGCTGGGACTTGAATGTGGAGAGTCTCTAATGTTCTCCAAAGAACCTTCGGTTTTTCTCTCAGAGTAAGGTTGAAGGTTTCTGAGCAGGATGGTGATGATTTATAGGTAGCACTTTGAGGAATAGTAAAGGAAGTGGGATATAGGAACCAGACTGAAAGCTTATAGTAGAGTATACTTGATGTGTTAAGAGTCCTATGTGGAGTGGGAAGTACATACATGGAAAGTTAATTTATAATTGTAATTAATGTATCTAAAGTACATGGGAACTGAAATGCAAGATGATTTTTTGTATTATATCCTGGAACAGAAGAAAGAACATTAGTGGAAAAACTGGGAAATCCAAATAAAGCCTGCAGTTTGATTAATGCTGCTTTATCAGTGTTAACTCGTTAGTTTTGATAAATATACGACAGTTACCATTAGGGAATGCTTGGTGCAGAATATATAGAAGTCTGTGTACTCTCTTGAAACTCTTCTGTAAGTACAAAATTATTTCAAAATGAAAAATTAAAAATGTATATGGAAGAGTTAATATATTTATGTAATACATTAGATATAGGATATATATTATAACCTCTCTCTCTCTCTATACACACACACACACACACACACACACACACACACACAAAGAGAACAGATGGAAAGAAATAACCACTATGAATATCTAAATTTTTTCTAGGTTGTGGTGTTATAGCTAATTTTTCTCTCTTCCTTATAATTTATTCCAATGTTTTCCATACTTAGCTTCTGTTTTCTTTTATTATTAGAAAAATGCATTTAAAGATAAAGACACATTTCAGCAGTCAAGATAATTGATTGGATATTTGGATAATGGAAATGGGTAGGTCAGTAATGGCTCTGAATACGAACAATGGTCCAATTGATAGACATTGGCCAATATATACAATACTCCATCTAGGTGTGCATTTAAGACAACAGATATTTTTTCCATTTTAACAATTTTTAAAATGATATGTAATAATTGTAATTTTTTAGTGCATGTGATATTTTGATACCCATATACAATGTGCAATGACCAAATTCAGGCCACTGGGGTATCCATTACGTCAAACATTTATCTTCTCTTTGTAACATATTTTTAAAGTACTTGTTAAAGTTTCGAGATACTTAAAAATTAACTGCTTCCTCTGGTCTGTAATCACTAATTTATATCTCTGTCACACATAATTTTTTTAACCAACATCTCCCCAACCCCTTTCCACTCCCACCCCTAGTCCCTGGTAACCACCATTTTACTCTCTACTTCTATGAGACCCACTTGTCTAGATTCAACATATAAGTGAGATCACTTGGTATTTGTGTTTCTGTGTCCGAAATATTTCACTTAACATAATGTTTTCCAGGCTTATTCATGTTGTCCCAAATGACATAATTTTGTTCTTTTTAAAGGCTGAATAGTATTCCATTGTGTAGATTTGTATGTATATACATATATTAGTTTACATATCATCCATCCATATATATATATCTATATATATATAGATATATATCCATATCCATACATACATATGTGTCTGTGTCTCCCACATTTTCTTTATCTGTTCATCTGTTGATAGACACTTAGGTTGATTCCATATCTTGACTATTGTGAATAATGCTATAAGGAACATGAGAGTGCATATTTTCCTTTGAGCTTCTGATTTCATTTCCTTTGGATATATGTCCAGTAGTGGGATTGCTGGATCATATAGCAGTTCTATTTTTAATTTTTTTAGTGTACTTTCAGTTCTGGGGTACATGTGCAGAACATGCAGGTTTGTTACATAGGTATACACGTGCCATGGTGGTTTGCTGCACCCGTCAATCCATCATCTACATTAGGTATTTCTCCTAATGCTATCCCTCCCCTAGACCCCCACCCACTGACAGGCCCCGGTGTGTGATGTTCCCCTCCCTGTGTCCATGTGTTCTCATTGTTCAACTCCCACTTATGAGTGAGAACATGTGGTGTTTGGTTTTCTGTTCTTGTGTTAGTTTGCTGAGAATGATGGTTTCCAGCATCATCCATGTTCCTGCAAAGGACATGAACTCATCCTTTCTTATGGCTGCATAGTATTCCATGGTGTATATGTGCCACACTTTCTTCATCCAGTCTATCATTGATAGGCATTTGGGTTGGTTTCAAGTCTTTGCTATTGTGAACAGTGCCACAATAAACATACATGTGCATGTGTCTTTGTAGTAGAATGATTTATAATCCTTTGGGTATATACCCAGTAATGAGATTGCTGGGTCAAATGGTATTTTTAGTTCCAGATCCTTGAGGAATCACCACACTGTCTTCCACAATGGTTGAACTAATTTACACTTTCACCAACAGTGTAAAAGCATTCCTATTTCTCCACATCTTCTCCAGCATCTGTTGCTTCCTGACTTTTTAATGATCGCCGTTCTAAATAGCATGATATGGTATCTCATTGTGGTTTTGATTTGCATTTCTCTGATAACCAGTGATAATGAGCTTTTTTTTCATATGTTTGTTATTTTTGAGAAACCCCCAAGCCATTTTCCAGAATAGCTAGACTAACTTACCTTCCCAACAATGGTGTGCAACGGTTTCCTTCCCTTCACATCCTCACCAGCGCTTATGTTTTGTCTTTTTGATAATAACCATTCTCACAGATGTAATATGTTACACACATACTGTTTTCAATGTTTTGGTGGTTTTGAGATACTTTGTCCTTCCAAATGGTGAACAACTTGAAGTCGTATTCACATTTATATTTCCAGTATCTATCACAATATTTGGCATATCTAAGTAATTTATAAATGCATATTAAGTCATTGATGGAATAGATATTAAGTAGTCAAGTTCTTATTTGCAATGAAAACTTAAGACGTGGATTGACTCACTTAATCCTCACAAAAACTTTGTAACAAATTCTACGATTATTTTCCCGATTTTATAGATGAGTAAATTGAGGCAGAGCAGAGATCAGTAACTTGTGTAAACCATGGAGTTGGGAAGTGGTGAAGCCAATATTGAGACCCATACACTCTGACTGTAGACATTAATATGCTGCTTTGTATTCTTTCCCCACAAGGTTGTAGCAGAACCAGGCCTGGTAACAGGGCTTGACTCCTGGTTATTTTCAATGGGCTGCCCTGACACAGCCACACCACAATCTTTCGTCATAAGATGGTCTATGTCTCTAAAACTTCAGCCAATTTTCCATACCTCACAGCTAGTCATTTCACAGAGTAGTAGAGGTATAGTTTCTTTTTATCTAAGATTATGATTGTCCATGTCAAAAATTATTTTATTCGTTTCTACATTCACCCGGGCCATTTTGTTTTTGAATCCTGGCTTCTAATAAGCTTATTACTCTTCCCAGCAATGACATTGACCAAACTAGAATTATTCCCATGATTAAAGTTTTGCATTTCCAGTCACCAGTTGAACAGATGTGATGGTTAAGCATGAGAATAGTGTCACATAGCTCAGTGTGTGATTATGGCTCCACATTTTATGGAACGTGTGACATGAAGCTACTTACTCATATCTTTGCTTTTTATTTTCACCATTTGTAAAGTGAAAGTTAAGCAAAAATACTTTATATAAAACTTCAGTGAGAATTAAATGAGATGATATATGTAAAATAACTTAGAACATTGTCCACTAAGTGCTCATTATAATGCTTATGGAGTGGTAGCTATTATTATTATTTCCCATTAATTTTATTGTAAATACTCTAATATTATGGAAATAATTACAGACAATCAACTCTTGCTACATGCCCACCTTACTTTCTTATTCATTGCATTTATACCAGGGCAATTGATTCCAATGAAGGGCATTCACTGGTAACTCCATGAAAGCGTCTTATTCTTCTTGCAGTGTGGGCTTATTCTTCCCTGGACTAGAGTTTCTCAATTCCACTGCTACTTTCCCAGATCTGTTATGCCCAGAAGATGGAGGGCTGCCTTCCAGAAGAGTGGCCACCTCCCAAAGCTACTGCCTATCAAGTGATGATTTAAGAGGTGCCCTGAATGAAGTATAATTCTGTAGTGGGCTCCATGTGCCTTTTGTGGGTTCGAGTTCCATGTCGTGCAAAAGTGAAAACATTCAGCATTTGTATAGCAATGAAGATGACTCTGGAGAAATCACACTGTGTTTTCCTTTTCCTGCAAATGTCTTTCTCTGTTTTTACCTCCCTGTAACTGCAATACACAGTTCTCGTTACCTAAATAAACTGAGATATGGTCTGGCTCTATGTCCCCACCCAAATCTAATCTTTAATTGTAATCTTAATTGTAATACCCATGTGTTGGGGGAGGGACCTTGTGGGAGGTGATTAGATCATTGGGGCAGTACCCCATACTGTCCTCTTGATAGTGAGTTTTTCATGAGATCTGATGGTTTTATAAGGGGTTTTTCCCCCTTCTCTTTGCACTTCTCTCTCCTGGTGCCACGTGAAGTAGGACGTGTTTGCTTCCCCTTCCACTATGATTGTAAGTTTCCTGAGGCCTCCCAGCCATGCTGAACTGTGAGTCAATTAAACCTCTTTCCTTTATAAATGACCCAGTCTTGGGTATTTCTTCAGAGCAGTGTGGAGAATGGACTAATACAGACCGTGAATGGATTTGTGTGCAAAAGGGAGCTAGTGAAAAGTTTGGCTGAGAATGAACATTTTTTTCCCCTCCGTGTTTCATTTTTTTACAATAGAATGCATCCCTGAAAACCTTCCAGATTCTCTACCTTCTGATCATACTGTCTATTATAATTCTGCCTGATGGCAAAACTTCTCCTTATTGACTCTAAATTACATTTAATCTTGTTAGGATCACTTCTTATTGAAAGGCATGCGTTGTGATGGCATTGACGGGAATCCAGAAGCTGTGATGCCCAGCCAGAGGAAAATAAACTCTTGGAGCTTCCTACTGCTTGTCATTTTCATGCTGGGTCCAGCTGTGTAGCCTCTTGAAGGATGTAGAGGATTGGGGTGCTCAGTGCAGATAATAGTGGGCTCCCAGGTAGTGTGGAGAGCTCTCCGCCACAAGAAAATAATCTTTTGAGCCCAGTGGACTGAGAACGAAAGGCCATTTTGAGCTTAGACAGTATAATTCTATTAGTGAAAAGCCCTTGCAGAAGGAAATTGCCTGTGTTAAAATCTGTGCACAAATTAAAATAACAGGGCTAAGGGGGAAAATATCTCTATAAAAGGCTTTATGACTCCAGTGGATAATAATATCCTTGTCACATTAGGATCTGGGGACCTAGAGATATAAGAAGGTCTTTTTCATTGTTATTGTTGTTTTCACAGCATATGAGCCTTCTTTTCTCCACTTCAGCCTGTGGAATAAATTTATTCTTGGCTGCTTATTTTATGAATTTGGATGCTATGTCAAAGCATTGTATTGTTTCTTATCAAGAAAGTAGAAAATAAGGTCTGCATCATTGTCATTTATTGGCACCTGATAAGATTGATATCATCTAAAAGCTCCATTTTGGCTAAATGTATCAAATGTGTAAGTTCCCTGTAATTTGTGTGGGATTTTGTAGGCACAAGTTAATATAGCTGTTTTGATATAGCATGTACAAAGTATTTAAATACATATCTCAGTTTAGAATAGATTCATTAGAAAGGGCAGAATAGGGAAAAAAAGCTGTCAGCACAACTGATGTTCATTTTCTAGGGTGACAGAATTCAGAAGTCCCAAGGACTGTAGCAGTTGGATAGCTAATGCTGCATATCGCAGCCCTATCCACAAAGCAGGCCCTACTCATTCATTGGATGGCAGCTGCAAGTTTAAGACTTAGGCTACATTTTCCTAATTCCATGAAAAAGGCAACATGAGCAATGGGCTGTCATGTATTTGAAAATTATGCCATGTAAGTAAATAAAGACATAGTTCATAATTCCACGAAAGGTTGATGGCAACATTTATTCCAGAATTAGGCAATAATGAAACAGATGATTCTTTGAGGTCTAGCAATGAACCAGGGAGTTTAAGACCAACACATCTCTCTCCTAACCTATAGCAAAATTAAGATAGTAACCAACTGGTTTATTTTCTTCTGCCTTTCCTCGCTCCCTCCTTCTTTCCTTTTATCTCTCCTGTCGTTTTCTTCTCTCACCCTTCTCCATTACTTTATCTTTTTTCCTCATTCTGTTTCTCTCCATCCACTCACTCACCCACTCACTTATTCTTTAATTAGACATTTATTTAAGAACCCATCTTGATTCAGGCATTGTCCTGGCACTGAGAATACATTGTGGCTAAGACTGAAATAGTTTTGGTCCCCATGAAACTTACAATTTAAGTGAAAATATTGCTGGATTGTCCATTAGGAAGACCAAGCCTGTGCTTATGGTAATAGCAAAAAAGGAGCGATCCTTCTCTCATCTGTTAAAAATTAAGTTTGAAGATGTTAGCAAGAGGGTCCACTAGAAGCTCCTAGTAGCGCTCTCTCTGCTCCCCTTCCCTCACTGCCAGAAAAACAAACGACAAACAAAAAACTACATTTTGACCAAAATAACTAAAGGAGAGCATCGCAGAACAGCAAGGAGGCAGCAGAAGTCCTGTAGACCGCAGAAACCCAGGATGGCTGCATGGAGAAGAGGAGGAATCACCATGCCTCTCCCACTTCATTCCCCTAATTAAGGTCAGCTCAGAACCAGAAGGAACTTCTCCCTGTGGAGGAAAGGTAAAAAAGAGGACCCCAGCAGCCCCCATTGCCACTGTGGACACCTGCAGTCTTTGCTACTGGAGAATCCTACAGTCCTCAGAGACTTGGGGCCCATCTGAGAGAGCCCTCTTGAGTCAACATGCTGAGCTACCCCCAGAGAAGGAGCTGAGGCTGTGCCTCACATGCTTGTGGCCCATGTTGTTGCTGCTCTGTACCATCTTGCAACAGAAGTCACTGGTACAGTGTGTCCTGCCTGAGGATGAGTACCCATTGCATCCCTCCATCCACCCCTGAGATTCAGTCACTGCCTCACAACACCCACCCAAACATGTCATTTCCATGGAGAGCTACTGCTATACCCTATGCCCTAGAGCTGCTTCATTTTCTCATCCCAGTCACTAGTGCACCCCCCTACTAGGGTCGAGCTGAAGTGGTACCCTGCTCACAGGGATCCAGAGCCTCAAACTACTGGAACAGCCATGCCCCTGGTGCCACAGCCAAAGTAACACCCTGTTCCCCTACCCCTTCAGGGCTCTGATATTCTGGCACCCTGAAGCAGTTGCATCTCTTTAACACCACAGCTTACATGATGCCCCACCCCCGGGGATCCAGAGGCTCTGCTGACCCACATTGCTGCACGTTGTGTGGTCAAACAGATGCAGTGCCTCATATCCCAGGAAATCAGAGACTTGGGTGAGCTGTGCTACCCTGGCCTACAGGCCAAACAGCCATGTTCCTTGTCTATCTGGAACTAAACTAGTCCCCTGCAGTCCAAGCTACTGAAGCACCTGCCTTTTGGGATTTGAGTCATTGCTGCACTGCTTTCTGCTCCTTGTGGTCCAAGCAACAGCAGGATCATGCTATTTCTGGTTCCTCGCTGCTGTTGCAGCTGGCCTCACTGAACTCAGACAACTTCTGCATCCCATCAACCCAGAGTCCAGAGTCACCACTACATGGTACATCATTCCCTGGAGCCTGAGCTGCTACTGTGCCCTGTTGGTTTTGGGTCCTGAATTGCAGTTGTGCTCTACTCCCTGCAGCTTGAGCCTCTGGAACACCTTTACACCCAGGAGTCATACCAGTAATGTGTTCTGACCCCAGAGTTATATCCACAGCTGCATTCTAGCCTGCCTGGGTCTGAGCTGCTGCAGTGTGCCTTAGAGCAACATACCCTATCTTAGTGGCTGAATTACACGCATTTATGCCTTGGAAAGTAAAACTATGCTTCAAGTCCCAGGTATAACAATAGTTTCACAAGACCCTGAGCCCAGGAAGCTGGCCCTGCAGCTGCTCTGAGCACCTGTGTCCTGGATCCTGGTACTGATGTAGCTTCCTATGAGCTGTGTCAGACTCAATACAAAGAGATCATCAGCTAATATGCCTCACTGTGAGGAAACAAAAACAAAAGGATCCCTAAAGCCTTTACCCTAATAATCTATGTAGCTACTGTCACTGCCACAAGCTCCTACAGCCTAGATCACTGACACTCCCACAGTCCTAATGTTGATCCCAACTGCAGAAGCTGTATAGAGACCACACCACTATGCCCACATAGAACCAGAGCCACTGCACCCTACATGATCAGCACCCTCAGGCTCATCTTCAGGGGAGTCTTCCTCTGTGAAAGCCACTCTGTAAAGTTTGAAAGAGGTGACCACACCACCAGATGTACAGACATTAATACGAGGACACAAGAAAAATAAAAATGTAAGGAAACATAACACCACCAAAAGAATAAAATAATTCTCTAGTAACTGACCTCAAAAAATGGAACTTTATGAATTCCCTGAAGAGAAATTCAAAATAATAATCTTGAGGAAACTCAGTGAGACACAAGAGTACAAATGGAGAATTCAGTAAAGTTAGAAAAACAATTCGTGATCTGACTGGAATTCAACAGAGAAATGAATATCATATAAAAGAAACAAAATCTTAGAGCTGAATAATTCAATTAACTAAATAAAAAGAGAACTTCAACAGACTAGATTAAGCAGATGAAATGATCTGTGAACTTGAAGACAGGTCTTTTAAAATGATTCAATTAGAAGATAAAAAAGAAAAAAGGAATGAAAAAGAATGACGATACCCTACAGTACTTTGAAACACCATTGATCAAACAAATTTTGTGTTATTATAATTTTATGAGGAGAAGAGACAGAGAAAGTCACAGATAGTTTATTTAGTAAAATAATTATTGAAAACTTCTTAGGTTTAGGGACAGATATGAAGACCTAGACACATGAAGTTCGTAAGTCTCCAAATAGATTCAACCCAAAGAGATCCTCTCTGAGGTGCATTTTAATCAAACTGTCCAAAGGTGAAGGCAAAGAGAATTTTTTAAAAAGTTAAAGTATCAAGTTACATATAAGGGGACCTCCATTACACTGTCAGCAGATTTTTCAGTAGAAACCTTGCAAGCCACTAGAGAATGTGATAATATATTCGAAATGCTGAAAGGAGAAAAACTGCTAACCAAGAATATTATATCCAGTAAAGCTGTACTTCAGAAATTAAGGTGAAATAAAGTAAAAAGCAATTTCATAACAAACAACAGAATGGCATAGTAAGTCTTTATCTATCAATAATAACCTTGAATGTAAATGCATTAAATTATTTAATCAAAAGACATAGAGTGGCTAAATGAACAAAACAAAAGATCTAATTATATGCTGCCTATAAGAGATCCAGTTAAGCTGTAAGGGCACACACAGACTTAAAGTGAAGGGATGGAAGAAGATATTCTGTGCAAATGGTAACCAAAAAAGAGTAGGAATGACTATGATTATATCTGACAAGATAGACTTTAAGTCAAAAACTTTCACAAGAGACAAAGAAGGTCATTATTTGATGATAAAAGGGTCAAGTCATCAAGGGAGAATAACTATTGTAAATATGTAAGCACTCAACATTAGGGTACCAAAATACATCAAGAAATACTAATGGAATGAAGGGAGAAATAGATAGCAATACAATAATAACAGGAGACTTCAATACTCCACTGTCAACAATGAATAGATCAACTAGAGAGGACTTTAATAAGAAAACACAGAATTTAAATTTCACTTTTGAACAAATGGACCTAACAGATATGTAAAAAATATTTTCATTCAATAGCAGTAGAATGAACATTTTTCTCCCGTGTACATGGAACATTCTTCAGAATAGACTACATGCTAGTCCACAAAACAAGTCTTAACAAATTTAAGAAAATTGAAACCATACCTAGCATTGCTTCAGACCACAATGTTATGGAAATCAATAACAGGAGGAATCTTGAAAAGTTTACAAATATGTGAAAATTATACAACATGCATTTAAACAATCAATGGGTTAAAAAATCAAAAGGGAAATTAAAAAATAACTTGAGACAAATGGCAATGAATAAAAACTTACAGAATGCAGCAAAAGGAGATCTAAGAGGACAGTTTATTGCAATTAATGCCTACATTAGAAAATAATGAAAATTCCTAATAAATAGTCTAACACTATGCCTCAAGAAAATATACAAAAAAAACTAAACCAAAAATTAGCAGAAGGGAGGAAATAATAAACATTAGAACAGAAACAAATGAAATAATGGAAAAACCATAGACAGAATTAATAAAACTGAGTTGTCTATTTAAAATAAATAAACAAAATTGACAAACCTTCAGCTATCCTAAGAAAAAAAGAGTGAAGACCCAAATAAATAAAGTGAAAAAGAAAATGTTACAACAGACATTTGAGAAATAAGGAGATTATAACGGACTAGTATAAATAAGTATATGCTAATGAATTGGCTAACCAAGAGAGAATGGATAAATTCCTAGAAAAATACAACCTACCAAGATTGAATCAGGAATAAACAGAAAGCCTGAAGAGACCAGTAACAAATAAAAGAGAGTAAAGAAGTAGTAAAATATCTCCCCAAAATGAAAAGCTCAGGATCAGATGGCTTCTCAGCTGAATTCTATCAAATATTCAAATAATTAGCATCAATACTCAAACTCTTGCAAAAAATAGAACTAGAGAAAAGACTTCTAAACACATTTACAAGGCCAGTATCACCTTGATGCCTGTATTAGTCCATTCTTGCATGGCTATAAAGAAATACCTGAGACTGGGTAATTTATAAACCAAAGAGGTGATATTGGCTCATGGTTCAGTAGACTGTGCAGGAAGCATGGTGCTGGCATCTGCTCAACTTCTGGTTAAGCCTTAGGGAACTTTCAATCCTGGCAGAAGGCAAAGAGGAAACAGGTATGTCACATGGCAAAAGCAGGAACAAGACAGAGAGAGTGGAGGGGAGGTGCCACAACTTTTAAATGACCAGATCTTGTGAGAACTCACTATCATGAAGACAACATCAAGCCCTAAGGGATCCACTCCCATAATCCAAACACCTCCCAATAGAGCCCACCTCCAGCACTGGGGATTACAATTCAACATGAGATTTGGGTGGGGACAAATATCCAAACTATAAAAATGCTTAAGACAGACAAATATATCATAAGAAAAGAAAACTATAGGCCAATTTCTTTAATGAACATTGATGCGAAAATTCTCAATAAAGTATTAGCAAACTGAATCTAACAACACATTAAAAAGATTATACATCATGACCAAATGAGATTCATCCCTGGCATTCAAAGCTGGTTTAATATACATGAATAAATCAATGTGATGCATCACATTAATAGAATTTTAAAAATCACTTATCATTCCAATCGATGCAGAAAAAGCATTAGACAAAGCCCATCATCCATTCTTGATAAAAATTCTCAACAGTTTAGGTATAGAAGAAAAGTTGCTCAACATAAGAAAGGCCATTTGTGAAAAAATCCACAGTAAGTATTAAAATAAATGGAGAGAAATTGAAAACTTTTCCACTAAGATCTGACACAAGAGAAGTATACCCACTCTCACTGTTTCTATTCAACATAGTACTGGAAGTAGACAGTTGACTTTTGAACAATGTGGAGGTTATGGGCACTGATTCCCATACAGTCGAAAATCCATGTATAACTTTTGACTTCCCACATACTTAACTAATAATAGCTCACTGTTGACTGGAAGCTTCACAGATAATATAAATAGTTGATTAACATATATTTTGTACGTTATATGTATTACATCCATAAGCTAGAGAAAAGAATATGTTATTGAGAAAATCATAAGGAAGAGAAAGTATACTTACTACATAGTACTTGAAATATATCACCAGAAAAGTCTTTATTCTTGTCAACTTCCACAGAGTAAGCTGAGGAGGAGGAGAAAGAGGAGAGGTTGATCTTGTTGTCTCAGGGGTGGCAGAAGCAGGAAACCCACATGTAAGTGGACCTGTGCAGTTCAAACCTGTGTTGTTTAGGTGTCAACTATACTCACTAAAGCAATCAGACAAGAAAAAGAAATAAAAGGCATCCCAATTGGAAAGGAGAAGTGAAATTACCTCTATTTGCAGATGACATGATTCTACATGCAAAAACTCTAAATATTCCACAAAAAATTTTAGAACTAATAAATAAATTCTGTAAATAGTAGGACATACAATAATCAGTAGCATTTTAATACAAAAATACCTAACTGAAAAAGAAATCAAAAAAGTAATCTCATTTATGATAGTATCAAAAAAAACACCTGGGAATAAATTTAACCAAAGAGGTGAAAGATCTGTGCATTGAGCACAATAAATGGATGGAAAAAAATTAAAGAAGAAACAGATACATGGAAAAATATTCATGGCTTATGGATCATAAGAATTGTTATTTTTAAAATGTTTATATACCAAAAGCAATATACAGATTCAATACAATCCCTATCAAAATCCAAATAGCATTCTTCACAAAAATATAAAAAACAATCCTAAATTTATATGGCAGCATAAAACACCATAAATAGCCAACATAATTTTGAGAAAGAAAAACAAAGTAGGAGTCATCACAGTTCTTGATTTAAAATTACATTGCAAAGCTATAGTAATTAAAACAGAATGGTAGTGGCATAAAAACAGACACATAGACTGGTGGAACAGAATGGAGAACCCAAAAATAAATGTGTTAATTCATTTTTGACAAAGGTACCAAATGGACACAATGGGGAAAGTATAGTCTCTTCAATGGATGGTGTTGGGAAAACTGGATTTTCACAGGGAAAAGAATGAAATTGGACCTTTACCTTATACCATACACAAAAATTAAATAAAAAATGAATACAATACCTACATATAAGAACAAAAACTATAAAACTCCTGCTCCTGGACATTGGCCTTGGCAATGATATTTTGAATGTCATTACAAAAAGCTCAGGCCACAAAAGCAAAAATAAATAATTGGACTATATTAAACCAAAAAGCTTCTTCACAGCAAAAGAAACAATTAATGAAATAAAACATTAGCCTTTGAATTGAAAAAATATATTTGCAAACCCTGTATCTGATAAGGGTTAACATCCAAAATTTATCAAGAACTCATACAACCCAGCCCAATAGTCAAGAAACAAATAACTTGGATACAAAATGGATAAAAGACCTGAATAGACTTTTCTACCAAGAAGACCTGCAAATGACCAACATATATAAAAAGATGCTGTGCATTGTATCATCAGGGAAATGCAAGTCAAAAAACACTATGAAATACAACCTCACACTCTTTAGAATGGCTACTAGCAAAAGGTCAAAAGACAATAAATGTTGGTGAGAGTGTGGAGAAAGGGGAACTCTTACATTCTGTCTGTGGGACTGTAGACTGTTACAGACATTATGGAAAATAATATGGACTAAAGAAATTAAAAATAGCACTACCATATGATCCAGTAATCCCTCTTCTGGGAATATACCCAAAGCAAATGAAATCACCCCTTCATAAAAATATCTACAATCTCATATTGATTGTAGCATCATTCATAATAGCCAAGATACAGAAAAAAACCTAAGTGTCTGCCAATAGACAAATGGATAAAGAAACTGTAGTACATATATGCCTAATGGAATATTATTCAAGCTTTAAAAATAAAATCTTACTATTTGCCACAACATGGATAAGCCTGGAGGGCATTTTGCTGCGTGAAATAACCCAGACCCAGAAATAAAAATATTGCATGATCTCAAATTTATATGTGAAATTAAAAAAAATTAGTTACTAGGAGTGGGGGCATGAGGGGAAGGGAAGAAATGGAGAGATGTAGATCAGAGGATATAAAGTAGCAGACATGTAGTATGAACAAGTCTAGAAATCTAATATGCAGCACGCGGACCACAGATAATAAAATTGTATCGCATATGGGATTCACACTAAATGAGTAGGTGTTAGCTACTCTTTGTCATAAAATTTTTAAAATGGGTAACTATGTGAGACGATGGATATGTTAATTTCCTTCACTATAGTAACCTTTTTACTATCTATATGTAGCCCATAACACAATGTGATATATCTTAATTATATACACTAAAATTTATTTAAAACATTAAAATAAAGTTTAGTATACGATATTTGGAGTAAAGCAGAGAAGCACTCACGATAGGTAAAATTGAAACCTTATTGGATTTCTTGAACTTATTTTAAAGTTTTGATTTTAAAAAAATTTCAAAATCCATCTGGTGTTGGAAGAGACACACCATTATCTTGTCAGAGCTTAGGGCCTCTGAAGTCTTAATAGAGAACATGTGGGGAACAAGTAATTAGACAGTGACATTGAACGACTAATTAGAAGTGTGATGAGTACTGTAAAGGAGAAATACAGAGTGCTAAGGAACAAATGACAAGGGGACCCTAACATTCCTTTTCTTTTCTGTATGAAGTCTAAGACATATACATTTTCAAATGTAATGCAAGAAAGCTCTTGAAAGAGTTGGTGTTCAGAAGCCTGATATGCGCGAGGGGTTGGGGGTGGGAATCACCCCATCTGGCTGCCCATGAACTGAACAAAAAATTGAAAGCCTTGAAACAGGACTTGGATAGGGTAAAGATATGTTACTCTAACAAAATTTAATAGTTGGACAATCTTGATTTTTAGAAGGGAAAATTATTTCCTTTACCTTCCATTGGTAGGAATATAGGGAAGAGAAGCTGCCAGCAATGGCCACTTCACATTGTATGGATAAGCTTGAAACATTTTACATCTCGCGACTTTCAGGTTTTTGGAGCCTTGATTATCGGAACTATTTCTATGATAGCTTCATGGTACCAAAGTAGGAAGATATTAGATTGTCTCTAGAATGTTTGATATAAAATTGTGTGTCAATCACAGTATGATCTAAGCTACTACATTTAGCATATGCAGTGGTCTTCAGTTTCAGTGGGCATCAGTGTCACCTGGAGGGCTTGTTAAACTATGGGTCACTGGGCCCCACCCTGGAGTTTTTGATAGATAGGGTCTGGTGTGGGGCCAGAGGATTTGCATTTCTAATAAGTTCCCAGGTGCTGCTGCTTCTGCCCATTTGAGTATGCCAATGAGTCAACTAACCTTAATGATGGGAGGTTAAAGAGGATTGCCCTAAAAATCAGAAGACCTGAGTAGAGCTTTAAGCTCCACCATATAAATGTCTTGACAATCTTAATCTTAATCTTGTCATTAAATGTCTTCCTTCAACCGTAGGATGCACGTTTTACAATAGCATTGTCATAGAGCTAGAGACTGTATATATTATACAATATATGCAAAAGTGTTTTGTAAACTGAAAAAAAACCCTGAGATTTAAAACTTTTTCTTAGCTCTCATCATAATCATATATGTTTGGATAGCGTCTCTGATAAACAATTTTCAAAAATTGGGGGTGTCCTAGAGGGCTGCAAGAGCAAATCTCTGGCCTCCAACAGGTATGGTGGGAGGAAGAATGCAGTGACTGTTGATACGCTACTAATTGGACATTCCTGAAAAATTTACTTGTGACCAATCGTGTGGTGCTTCTGGAAGCTCCTGTCATTGTTGCCTTTGGAAATATGTCAGTTATTTTAGAAATGAGAGCTCTCTGATCCAATTTTGGGTGAATGGATGAAGCCTCCTGGCCAAGTATAATTAACATCCCTCAAGAGTGATAGGGTATCAAGAAAGAATGGTATTGTTTAGGTATTAAATGACATAAAAACAAAAACAAGAACAAAAACAAATAACAAGCTATTTTGGCTTTGTGAAGCAACTCACTTTTATTGATGAGCTTTAAAAATCCCAGCTGCCATTCTTATTCTCTGGCATATTTACCTATTGTACAGTTACTTTTATCCAAATGTATTAGGATTTTGAAAAAAAATTAAACTGTAAACCAAAAACCTTTCTATTATTATCAGCTAAAATCAAGGTCCCATATTTTATTGACTGTCAACTATCTAATGTGCTTTATCTCTAGTCTCAGCTGGGCCCTCCCTGACCTGAGCTGTTCCAGGAGAAATGGGCAACTCTGAACGCTGGTGAAAATTGGAACATCAATGTGTCCTCGAAGCAAATCTGTGAAGTGTCCTGGGAGAACTGCAAAATTGAGAATCCTTTCCGTGAGGTATCCTGAAATCCTTTATTTGGCCATTAAACTGTTCATAAAACTTATTTCAAGTGGCGACAGAAAATCATTGAGAAAGATTCCTTCTGTCCAGCAATGACAAAGAAAACATCCCTGCATATTGGTTGTCCCGGTCATGGTTGTTCTGAGCCCTGGGTGAATGCCAAATGACTGGCCAGGTAGCCCTCAAGGTTTGACTTGAAATATGGTTTTCCCTTAAGCTTTGGGGGTACATGCTTTCTTGTGTTTTCATAATTATAGCTGGAAGATTTCCCATAGGAGTCTGAATTGTTGTTCAATAGCATTTCTAGGGGTGAATAACAGATAAGGGAAGAAAACATATTTAAAAGAGTAAAGGACTGAAGGATTAACAGGAGATCCTTGAGAACAGTCCCTAGATCTTAGAAGAGTGGCCCATCAGCAGCTGTAAGATTCAAGTCTAAATCAATAGCTGGGACTCTAGAGTCAGACAGATGGGGCTGAATTCTTTGTTCCATCACTCTCTAGTTCTCTGACCTTGAGTAAATAACCTTCCAGAGCCTCAGTTTCCTCCTTCACAAAATTAGCTTAAAATATTTCCTTCCTCACATATGTATGGTGAAGATTAATAGGATAATATCTGTTAGTTTCAACTAGATTATTTGTTCCTTTACAGAAGAGAACAGGCCAGGCACAATGGCTCATGCCTGTAATCCCAGCACTTTGGAAGGCCGAGGCAGGTGGATCACCTGAGGTCGGGAGTTTGAGACCAGCCTGGCCAACATGGAGAAACCCTGTCTCTACTAAAAATACAAAATTAGCCAGGCGTAGTGGTGCATGCCTGTAATCCTAACTACTTGGGAGGCTGAGGCAGGAGAATAGCTTGAACCCAGGAAGCGGAGGTTGTGGTGAGCTGAGATCGCACCATTGCACTCCAACCTGGGCAACAAGAGTCAAACTCCGTCTCAAAAAAAAAAAAAAAAAAAGAGAACAAGGTCTCTGTCCATTTATTAATACATATTGTTTGGAGAAGCTACAATGTGCTGGAGACTGGGGCTATCTGCCTCTAGCTGCCTACTCCATCCCAGTATGAATAGCTCAATGGTCAACATGCAGTTGGCACTTACATATACTTGATTAATTAATTAAATAAACACTTCTTGTTTAGCTTCTTTAAAATCAAATGGTACAGTGTGTGTCAACTCCTTTATTCACGTCTCATCCTCCCCTAAAATATGTGCAACCTTTAATTTGGACACCCTATTATTTAAAAAATAAAATGGTGAAATTTCTTCACAGGTCTTCCATGTCTTAGTATTTCCTGGGGACACACTTGATTAAAACTTGACATGAGCAAAGTTTTTATTTTATACAGGATGAAATATATGCAAAGGACCATGGCTTTGTCACGATCATAGTTTATATTCTTGAAGTTTGGATCTAATTTTTGATTTAGGCACTTTGCTCTCAATGAAATATTATGTATTATAATGTAGTAGTTAATAAGATCTGATACAGTGACTTTAAATTGAATTTCATTAAAAAATAAGAGCATAAAATGTCTTCTTAATAGTCTTAATTAGGGAAAATGGAAAACCATAGTATTTCTATATTAATGCACTAACTAAGATAATTGGGATAATATAAAATATATAGAAAAATAGGAAGTCTGGAAGCCAAAGGAAAAATAACCCACTATTTTCCAGTTCTTGGTATTTTTGTTTCCAGACTGAGGAGGCTCACCAGATGTCAGGCATAACGTCTTTAAGCAATTATTCTCTTTCATGTGTATAAGTCAGTATTGTCTTGTTTTGTGGCGACTGTAGCCCTTGTTTTGTAGTGACTGCTTCCCTGGGAAAGGCATTGTTCTGAATCTTAATGCTTCATAACAACTGCCACTTGTCCTCCTGATTAGGGCATTGTATGAAAACAGTGCATTCATTGCCGGGTTCTCACTAATCTCTCTCCTTTCATCCAGTGCCTCCCAGTTTCTCAGAGAGCTCTGCCTTTGCATTTTTAATTGAATACTTCTAAAAGTTTATATTCATGTATTCTGCTTGCTAGAAATCTCTGTTCATACCTCGCTATGAAGGTCTTATCTTTCTCTTTTATATCTCAGTCTGGTCAGGGAGTGAAATTAAGCTTGATTCCCTAATTGGGAGCCACATGGGGCATCCACATTATGATAACTGTACCAGAACTCAATAGCTACCCAGCACTCTGAAACAGAAGGTCGCCATTTTGTAAAACCAGAGAAAATGCTACTGGGCATTTTGCAGAATTGTCAATCAGGACAGAATGGACACTAATTGCTTCTCCTACAGCTGTTAACATTTCTCTTCAGTAGCCAAGCAACCCTTAAGACAGAAAGAAACTCTCTAAGACATCTGAAAATTTTCTGCAGACCTAAGTATAGGCTTCCAAGGTGAACATCTGTGATGAGTCATCTGTTGATTAATATAAATGAAGAGCTAACACTTCTGAACAAATAAAACATTTCAGACAAAGAGATCTGACTCTATTGGAAGGATATAGTAATCAGATAAATAAAATTATCCTATGTGTACAATTTTTGGGAGTGTTGATATTGTTATAATTTTATGTGTCTCTCTATTGTAGTGTTCTCCAAAGTAAATGTGGTCACATCTGGAGATGGACAACGCAATTTAGTGGGTATGAGAACAAGTTATTAAAACTTCTCTCTATATTCATTTTTATTTAATAATTAAGAAAAACTATAAGTAACTTATATAACTCAATAGCAGAAAAAATCTAATTAAAATATGGGGAAATGACTTAAATAGACTTTTTTAAATGAAGATACACAAATGCCCAGCAGGTGTATGAAAAAGTGCTCAACATCACTAATTATTAGTGAAATGCAAATTAAAACCACAATGAGATAACACCTTATACCTGTTAGAATGGCTATTGTCAAAAAGACAAGAGACAACAAGTGTTGGTGAAGATGTGGAAAAAAGGAAACCCTTTGCACTGTTGGCAAGAATGCAAATTGGTAAAGCCATTATGCAAAACTGTATGGCAGTTCCTGAAAATATTAAAATTATGACTGCCTTATGATTCATTAATCCCACTTCTGGGTATATATCCAAAGGAAACAAGACATTGTGACGTGGATGAATCTTGAGGACATTATGCTAAGTGAAGTGACATAGACAGAGAAAGTCAAATACTTCACAATAAGCGATTATATATGTGGAATATAAGAAAGTGAAACTCACAGAAACAGAGTAGAATCGTGGTTTTCAGGGGATGGGGTTTGTGGGAAATGGGTACAAATTTAGTTACAAGACTGAAAAAGTCCTGGGGATCTAATGTACAGCATCAGTGACTATAGTCACAATACCGTATTGTATGCTTGAAATTTGCTAAAAGAGTACATCTGAAACGTTCTTAATGCACACACACACAATGGTAATTAAATTAAGTAATAGATGTGCTAATTTTATTGTGGTAATCATTTCATAATATATACATATATCAAATCATCACATTGTACACTTTAGATTTATGCAATTTTATTTTCCAATTGTACCTTTATAGAGCTGAACAAAATAATATTAAGAAAAGATGCAATCTTTACTAATATTTAGTTTGAATATTTAGCACATGTTTAATTCATAAAGAGATATATATATATATATGTATATATATATAGAGAGAGAATATATAAAGAGAGACAGGAAGAAGGAAGGAGAATGCATGCTCCAAAAATTTTTACTATTGGGAATATGTATTAGTTATCTACCGCTGTATAGCAATTACTGCCCCACCACCCCCCGACTCCAAATAACAGCTTACAACAGCAGTTATTATCTCACAGTTTCTGTAGGTCCGGACTCTGGGTGCAGTTTAGTTGGCTGCCTCCAGCTCAAGGTTTCTCATATAATCCTGGCCAGGGCTGTGGTCACACTGAAGGCTCAATTGGGGAAAAATCTGTTTCAAGCTCACCCACCTGGTTGTTGATGATAGGCTGAGAACCTCAGTTCTTCACTGGCTGTTGACTGGAGGTCTTCCTCCTTTCCTTGTCTTTTTATAGGGCTGCTCACAATATGGCAGCTGTCTTCCCTCAGAGTGGGTAATGGAGGAAAGAAAAGAGAATGAATGAGAGAGAGAGAACATCCAACTCAGAAGCCAAAATCTTTTAATAACTTACTCTTAGAAGAGGCATACATCACTTTTGCCATATTCTATTCAACAGAATAAAATAGAAGCAATTTGAATAGAAATAGGATAGGATAGAATAGGATGGGAGGGGATGGGATAGGGTGGGATGGGATGGGAGGCGAGGGGAGGGGAGGAGAGGGGAGTACCACTAAATCCAGCTCATGCTCAAGGGGAGTGGATTATACAAGGGTGTGAATAAGAGGATGCATTCATCTTCGTTTTTTGCTTTTGTTTTTTGTTTTGAGACAGGATCTCATTCTGTCACCCAGGTTGGCGTGCAGTGGTGTGATCTCAGCTCACTGCAACTTCCAAGTCCCAAATCCAAGTGATTCTCATGCCTCAGCCTCCTGAGTATCTGGGACAACAGGCACACACCACCACACCTGGCTAATTTTTGTATTTTTAGTAAAGACAGGGTTTTGCCATGTTGGCCAGGCTGGTCTCGAACTCCTGACCTCAAGTGATCCTCCCACCTCAGCTTCCCAAAGTGCTGGGATTACAGGTGTGAGCCACTGCAGCCAGCCTCATCTTTGTATTGATGAGTATCTTTGAGGCTGCTCACCACACAGCACATAATCAAAAAGTCTGGAGACCCCTTCCCTAGAGCATAAATGGGCCATCTCTTTTTTGAAAAGGTCCACATTATAAATATTTTAATCTTGATGGGCCACATGTGGTCTCTGTTGAATATCTTCATTAACAGCCTGTAAAAATATATAAAAATCATTCTTAGCTTGAAAGCCATACAAAAATAGACAACAGGCCAGATTTTATACAGAGACCATAGTTTGGCAATACCTGTTCTAGTGGACTGTGAGGCAGATTTTAGCTCAGAATTCAAAAGAGCTCTAATAATTAAGGCTATCCAATGATAGAACCAGTTTGCCCCCAAAATAAGGTGATTGCCTTATCCATAGGATTATTTAAGCAGAATTAGCTAGTTCTCTCACATTGGATGAAGGATAGTTGGAATTGAGAGATAAAGCAAGAAGAAATGGACCAGTTGAACTCTTCCCAGAAAATGAGTTTCAAAAGATATGACTCAATAAAAGTACCTTCTGGATAAATAAAGTTGGAAATGTATTTACTATATTTCATTTTGAGAGAAACACAAACTATTGGCATATCAAAGTCTCTAAGAAGTAAGAAAACTTGTTTGATTTTGTTTTTTCCAAACTTATTTGACCAAGGAATCTCCCATTCCCTTTGGTTGTAGTAACACCCCTTACTTTTGTTCCATTGCACAAAGTTAGGAAACAACAGATTAACTGATACGTAAGATCTCTTCTGACTTTTAGAGTTAATGATTCTAGACATGTAAGATGGTATTTGGTTTCATTAACTAATAGTTAATATTTTCCTGTATAGCTATCTCCCTGCGATGTTTAGTTCATTGTAACAAACATTTACCAAGTACACGCATTAGGCTAGGCCCTCTTGCTAGGCATGGAAAGGTAAAGATAATATAGCTCATGTCCTCAAAAAGCATATTAATTTTTTCTAGGCTCTGAACTTTAGCACAGTGCTTCTCACACAGAAGGTTTTCAGGATAGGTCTATTGAATGAATGAAGAACAAATAAAATGGAGCTGTTTGAACACTTTGAACCATTTGGGATTATGGACACAGAGGATAATTCCCTGTCTGTCTCTGTGTCTCTCTCACTTTCTTTCTCTCTTTCTCTCTCTCTCTCATGGGGAGAAAAAATTCCCCTCTGTGTTTATAATCCCAAATATATATGAAGAGAGAGACAGAGTGAATCAATGAATTCTGGATGAAAAGTAACAATGCAATCAGTTTTCCCAATGTGGCCATAAATCTAGATATATGTTCCTGAGCAATCAAACTAAGTTTATCACCATTATAAATGAAGAAGATTAAAGTAGAATTGTGCTTCTGAAATTCAGATTTATATTAGAGTCTGCCACTTTAAAAATAACCCTTGCAGATTCAAGTTGACGTCTTTCCACTAGATGGTTTGATATGACTGTGGCTTTCATCTTTGTATAATAGAGTATTATCTGGTTACAACACATAATTCAATTAACATTATCCTTTAAATTTCTCCATCCTTTGTTGAAATGCTTAAATTTATTCCTCTTTTATCCTCGCCTCTCCTTTTTCAATCTTGGAGACTACTGTCATTAATCTATATCTTTTGAGGTTATCATTTCACTTTAGCTAGGAAGCATTTCATTCTTATCAGCATCCACAGTGCATCATCTGGGCTGTTCTTCTGTATATTGTGTATTGCCATCAATATTCCATCCTTATATATTTTTAATCTCCGCCAAGAATGTTGTATCATCTTCATTTCTGGTCAGATAAAATAAATGTTTCATTGGATATGTAAATGATCCTGTGAGCTAGATGAATTTAGGAGGTTTTGCTTTCAGTGTTGAAATAAGATCTTTATCCTTAAATCAGACAGTATGGAAACAAATGAAATGTTACATGCTGACATATTTTTAAATGCTATTTTTTTTTAACCTCCCCATGAAAAAAATGACATCTGCAAGTTAGGATTTGCTTTGGAAAATGAAGTCTTTTCATTTATTTACAAAAAAAAAAGGAGGATCAAGAGCACTTAGGGAAGGTTTAATTCTTTGTCTATCGCTCCAGCTGTCAAGTCATAATAGCACCGGCCTCTGCTTGCCTGGGCTGGAAGCAAATGATGCCCCACAAAGCAACCTGGGAAATAAAATCCAGAATATTTTAACTGGAAGGAAACTAAAATGATATCTGGCCCAGCTCTCTGTTTTTAGAGTTGAACATACTAGGACTTAAAGAGATTAAGTAAAATTAAAAGCTACATGGCTGTCAATACTTGCTAGAGCCTAGATTTCCTGACTCCCAGCTCAGTGTTCTTTCCAACTCATCACATTGTGGTGCCTCTTCTTGTTTAAGTTTTCCTGAATAGTTAAGTGAGAACTTTGTGAACAGATCACAGTTCTTAGTAACAGATGCCCATTAGGAACCCCGGTAGGAATATTAAAGCAAAGAAGACCTTAAAATAATGAAATAAATGTAATTTTGACCCAAAACTTGTAGGTAGGTCTGCTATAGTTAAGTCAGAGATATGAGCGTGTGAGATAGTGGTGACTAAGTCCTCCATGGTGTTGACATGAGTGGTGGTGTTAAGACAAAAAAGGTCCACAGAAAGGGAAAGCATGAATAAGAGGTAGGATGTTTAAAGGTTTTCAATCCTTGGATGCTCCTGTTCAGAAGTCTAATCTATTTTTATTTTAATTGCCTTTTACAAAGATATTTAAGATGTTTTGGAATGTTTAAATAAGCAAAAAACAAGTTATTTGTATTTAGATGTATCTAAAGGGTACTGTTTGTTATTTTAAAATTCATTTTTAAAGATCTGAGAAAAAAAGCAGATCATGGAATGCAAAACAAAAGCCATGAAAATCAGCAATAAAAGGAAGCAATAGAAATCATTCTGATATTGAGAAGCCAATGTCACAAAAAATTCAGATTATAACACATGCAATAACTTCCATTATGATTAGGTGTCCATGAAAATTAAATCTTCTGTTTATGATTTTGTATGTTTGATGATTGGAAGAATTCTTAAGAGACTAGCTTCTGGTTTCTGACATTTCAAACCCTGTTTATTTTCTAATGCCTACACACTTTCAGTTATGGGTGTCTCAGCTCATGTTGCCATGTGACCCTTGGACCTGTACCTTTTATGTCATAAAGTCAGATTAGTCAGTGCTTAAGGTGGCGGGAGTTCCTTAAAGCCATTTATGTATCTAGACAGCTATCAGTAATTTAACTATCAATAGAAGTGACTGTGAATAGAGATACTAAATCTATGCCCCTAACCTCAGACTAATTGTGTCCCCCAAAGACTTTTCAATTTATAAAGAAAAGCAGAGACCCAGGGCAGATAAGTTATGTGGCTTTGTTTATCAGCTAGTTAGCAGTAGGGCTAAGACTAGAACCCAAATCTCCAGCTTCTATTTAGGTGGCTTTTTACCTTCCTTCATTCTTGGATTTTTCCTGGATATCTTTACTATACTTTCCTTTGGGCACTAAGAAGAGGCCTTAGAACTTTTCCCAGTTTTCCAAATGGGTGATTGGCCTGATGCCAGCGTTTCCTTAAAATTTTTTTTTTTTTTTTTTGAGATGGAGTTTCGTTCTTGTCTCCCAGGCTGGAGTGCAGTGGCGCCATCTTGGCTCAACCTCCGCCTCCCTCCACCTCCCAGGTTCAAGTGATTCTCCTGCCTCAGCCTCCCAAGTAGCTGGGATTACAGGCATGCGCCACCATGCCTGGCTAATTTTTTTGTATTTTTAGTACAGATGGGGTTTCACTTTGTTGGCCAGGCTGGTCTCAAACTCCTGACCTCAGGTGATCTGCCTGCCTCAGCCTCCCAAAGTGCTGGGATTACAGGTGTGAGCCACCGCGCCCAGCCCCAAAAGTTTTTCCTTAATCATGCTTTCTAGATGGAAGATTTATCAATGGATTCCCGTAACTTTGATGGCACAATTGCAGAAAGGTCCCTAAGTATGGAAATTTCACTTTTTCACAGTCTGGTTCCTGCCAGGTTCACCTGTCTTCTCTCTTGCTCTTCTCCTAGGTGTACATGCTGTTTGCTTAGGAATTTGTACAGTTCTTTGACATTTTTTCTCCTTTCTTTTAAAATTGTTCTTCTCTATGTTGAATCCCCTCCTGCTTCCTTTCTGCTTGGCTAATTATTTCTAGTTTCAGCTTGGGAAATAGATGAAGAAGTTGTATATCTCTTACCAATTTTTCAGTTTTCAACAGTCCCCAAACAAATTGTATGCAGCACCATGAGCCTACAAAATTACCTTAAAGTACAGCAAACGATTGCATTAAAATATCACCTTTTATCCCTAGGAGGAGACTGTGCAAATATTCAAAAGCGATGGTTTGTAGTTAGCAGGGAATACAGGGCAAGCCAGCTCTTGTTTTTAAATGTTATGCCCAGAAGAGATCTTTGAAATTTTATAAACAGATGGATTCTTTTTGCTTGATTCGCTAATGTTTTACAATTAACTAATTAACAGGTTTATTGCCAAAATTAGCAATAAAAAGTGTTCAGGAGCTTCGACCAAAGCAGTCTTTTGCAATTACATAGTTACCAAAACAATCTGCATGATAGTTTGAGGCTAAACGTTGCTCAAATCAGAATTTCACCTGCTGTTTTCAAATAAAAGTTGACAAATACAAAAATGAACCCTGTAGATTTTCAGACTCCTTTCATATACACAAGCCTCTGCCTTAATTAATAATAATTACAGGTAACACAAACTATAGTTGGAAGGCTTAAATGTACCCAGATTGCTTTCAAGTGTGCAAAACTGCTTAGCAAACACAGTTCTGAAGGACTATCAGGAACCATTTTTATGTAAAGTCCATCTGCTGTCCTCTAGCTAGCAGGACCTTAAATGACCTATTCAACCTGATTTCCTACTGTTCCCTACTACAAGCCAGGTCACTCTCCTGTCTTGGGAGTTATCATTAGACTGCCCCTCTGATGTTACCCCTCATCTCTCTCCAGCACACTGCAAGTTTCTACTATAGGCAAACCCTTGGAGTTCCTTGAAGACACCACACTCTGTATCCTGCTTGGGCATGAGCTATTTTTCTGTCTGGAATACTTTCTAAGCTCCTTCAGGATTTAGCTTGGGCATTACCTCTTTTGGGATATATTCCCTGATCGACCCCTATTCGTGTCTCCAGAAGGTAGAATGAAGCTTAGGAGGGGAAGGAGGGTTTTCCTTTTGGTGTTCTTTCACTCAACTGCAAGCACTTCCAGAGAAGAAATGTGATTTCGATTTTTTAAAAAAATTCTAAGCTCAGTGAATATCAGTTGGAAGGAAGGAAGGAATAAAAGGAGGGAGAAAAAGAGAAACCAAGCTTTTGTTTGTTTCAGTATCTTCAGTACAGACTGTTCTGTCTGCCCAAAACCCTTTGGCTTATATTTCTAGGTTCGTTTCTCAGAACCTCATGTAAGTTTCAGTTTCTACCAACACAGCTGTTCCTGCTGTTTTTGAGCCTTGCTATAGCCCTTTATTTTTTCTGGCATGAAATCTGTTTCACCAATTAGGCTATAAGCTTCTTGAGTTGGAAGGTATCAGCACTCAAAGGGGCTTAGAGGTACATATCACCCATTCTAACAATTTTCCCAATGTGGGAATTCCACTGGCCACAGTTCAGGCACTTCTGCTAATTCTCTTGAAGTTTCTTTGGTGTCCGGACCTTGATAAGCACTTTCTGTGCATGACTAACAATTAAACATTCCTGTGTTTAACAAGATTAAATACTGTTCTTGTGACTTTACTGATGTATTAAATTAATTATCCTTGTATTTTTACCCTGCTATGTTCCAAAAGAAATACATGCAGTTGAATACAATTCAGTTATGATCTCTTAACCCCGTGGTATGGCCGGAGTAGTAAATTAAAGTTCAGTATATATGCCTTTATTTAAGTTCCAAGAGGCAGTTTAGTCGACATTTTCTCCTGGAAGCCCTCCACAACTTCTCCATTAGAAGGTAGGTGTTTCTTATCTGTAGTTCCAATGCACTACTGTGCTTACCTTTATCATAACACTTATTAGACTTTGTATAACAAAATTTTGTCCTCTGATTTTACCTGCTTCTTCCACTAGGCTGTAAGTACCTAGAAGGCAGTGACAGTGTCTTCTTCTTGGTGTGGCTGCAAACACAGGGCCTAGGATGTGGTACCCTTCTCCCAATCCATCCTCCATGCTGTTGCATGAGCTCTCCTCCTGATAGAACCAAACCTGCATCCAACACTTCCCTGCAAAAAATCCCCTGAAGGCTCAGGATCTTCTGTAGGAGAAAGTGCAAGCTCTTCATTTTGGAATAGATATCTTTCATAATATGTCTCAATCTACCTCCAAGTCTCATCTCCACCCTCAATGAAAGCACTCAAAACTTCTCAGGATTTACATATCCATAACTTGTGTGTTACCTTAAACTTTGAGTGGAGAAAACAATCTTTCTCTTCATTCATCCCTGCTAGATAAATATTTCTCCACTTGGAAATGCCCTCATTTTTCCTTCAAGATTTAGCTCAAATATTACGTACTCCTTGGTATTTAAAAAAATTCTTTGACCCAACCAACCTCATAGTGATCATTCAACTAAAATTTCATTATGCAAGTAATATGAGACAGAACTGAGAGACAGGGACTCACTATGCAAACATAGAACCTCTATACTTGTTTGCTTCACTCATCCAGCTGGGTAGGAATCTTGATCATGTTGTTCTTGTATTTCTCTTTGGCAAAGTAAAATGTCTGGCAAGTTATGATAGTTTGCATGAATATGTTCTTGGGCATCTCTTAGTTGTTGATTTGTTGTCAACTTAAAGTCAATATTCCATTTTAACAACTAGTCTTTGTACGCATCACTTATGAAAATGCAAATGACTATAGACAGAATTTTCATGAATGAAATTTTTCAGATCTCTATAGTAGAGAACTCTCTGTAGTAATTCTAGAAGCTGACAATATCTTCTTGCTACCATCTTTCAGATCTGTCCTTGTAAAATTCCATTCTTTCCCTTTAACAATTTCCTGTAGTTAATTTTTGTATTAACATTGTCTTTAGCATTGTATTAACATTGTCTTTAGCATTGTATTATACATAATGCTTTTTTTTTACATAATGTATGGAGAATTAGGTATACAACTTCCCTACTGATAATGGTAATACTGATAATAACAATTTTAATGCTCAAAGTCCTTGCATATTTTATTAAACTGTATACCATTATTTTATCCTACTTTCTTCAGGGGCTGAGCAGACACTATTCAGGCAACTTTAAAATAAATACAAGCCTTATTAACTGTCATCTTTTTGTTAAACAGTAATCTGTTGCTTTGCTTTTCATGGTGGAATAGTGCTGTATGGGAAGAGATATAGCCCATAATGAATGAAATTTTGTATGCTCACAAGTACTAAGGGAGTTAACACACTGTCTTGGCATGCAGGCATTGCTGTCAGACAAACCCATATCCAAGATCCAGAGCAGCCTACAATAAATCAAACCAGGAGCACTCAATTCTACTAGGTCTTCTCTCCTCTCCTCTCTGCCTCAGAGAGAACACATCTGAATAGATGTGTATACTGTGAAAGGAAAATAAATCTTGGGGCTCCCAAATCACAAAGCTAAAGGGAAAAGTCAAGCTAGGAACTGTTTATGGCCAACATGCCTCCCATTCTATTCAAAGTCATCCCTCTGCTCTCTGAGATAAATGCATATCTGATTGTCTCCTTTGGAGAGGTTTTTATTTCCAACTTATTCCACTGTAGTCTGAGAGAGTACTTGATATAATTTCGATTTTCTTAAATTTACTGGGACTTGTTTTGTGGCTTATCATGTGGTCTGTCTTGGAGAATGTTCCATGTGCTGATGAAAATAATATATATTCTGCAGTTGTTGAGTAGAATGTTCTGCAAATATTTCTTAAGTCCATTTGTTGTAGGGTATAGTTTAGGTCCATTCCTTTGTTGACTTTGTCTTGATGACCTATCTAGTGCTGTCAGTGGAGTATTAAAGTCTCTGACTATTATTGTGTTGCCATCTATCTCATTTCTTAGGTCTAGTAGTAATTGTTTTATAAATTTGGGAGATCCAGTGTTAGGTGCATATGTATTTAGAATTGTGATATTTTCCTGTTGGACTAGTTCTTTTATCATTATATAATGTCCCTCTTTGTCTTTTTTAACTGCTGTTGCTTTAAAGTCTGTTTTGTCTGATATAAGAATAGCTATTCTTGCTTGCTTTGGGTGTCCATTTGCATGGAATACCTTTTTCCACCCCTCTACCTTAAGTTTATGTGAGTCCTTATGGTTTAGGCGAGTCTCCTGAAGACAGCAGAAAGTTGGTTGGTGAATTCTTATTCATTCTGTCATTCTGTATCTTTTAAGTGGAGCATTTAGGCCATTTACATTCAATGTTAGTACTGAGATATGAGGTACTATTCTATTCATCATGCTATTTGTTGCCTGAATACCTTTTTTTTTTTCATTGTGTTATTGTTATATCGGTCCTGTGAGATTTATGCTTTAAGGAGGCTCTGTTTTGACATGTTTCCAGGATTTGTTTCAAGATTTAGAGCTCCTTTTAGCAGTTTTTGCAGTGCTGGCTTGGTAGTGGCGAATTCTCTCAGCACTTGTCTGGAAAAGACTGTTATCTTTCCTTCATTTGTGAATCTTAGTTTCACTGGATACAAAATTATTGGCTGATAATTGTATTGTTTAAGGAGGCTAAAAAAGGACCCCAGTCCCTTCTAGCTGTAGGGTTTCTGCCGAGAAATCTGCTGTTAATCTGGTAGGTTTTCCTTTACAGATTACCTGATCCCTTTGCCTCACAGCTCTTAAAGATTCTTTCCTTCTTCTTGACTTTAGATAACCTGATGACTATGTGCTTAGGTGACGATCTTTTTGTGATAAATTTCTCAGGTGTTCTTTGAGCTACTTGTATTTGGATGTCTAGATCTCTAGCAAGGCCAGGGAAGTTTTCCTTGTTTATTCCCTCAGACATGTTTTCCAAACTTTTAGATTTCTCTTCTTCCTTAGGAACACCACTTATTCTTAGGTTTGGATGTTCAACATAGCCCCAAATTTCTTGGAGGCTTTGTTCATTAAAAATTGTTTTTTTCTTTGTCTTTGATAGATTGGGTCAATTCAAAAGCCTTGTCTTCAAGCTCTGAAGTTTTTTCTTCAACTTATTTGAATTTATTGCTGAGACTTTCTAGTACATTGTGCATTTCTCTAAGTGTGTCCTTGATTTTCTGAAGTTGTGATTGTTTTTTATTTATGCTATCTATTTCACTGAAGAATTTTCCTTTCATATCTGGTATCATGTTTTTTATTTCTTTAAGTTGTACTTCACCTTTCTGTGATGCCTCCTTGATTAGCTTAATAATGGACCATCTGAATTCTTCTTCTAGCAATTCAGTGATTTCATCTTGGTTTGGATTCATTGCTGGTGCACTGGTATAATCTTTTGGGGGTATTAAAGAAACTTGTTTTGTCATATTACCATAATTATTTTTCTGGTTCCTTCTCATTGATAGAAGGAAGATCTGAATTCAAGGGCTGCTCTTCAGATTCTTTTGTTGTATGGGGTGCTCCCTTGATGTGGTGTTCTCCCCCTTCCCCTAGGAATAGGGCTTCCTCAGAGCCGAACTGTAGTGACTGTTTTTGCTCTTCTGGGTCTAGCAACCCAGAGGAGCTACCAGGCTCTGGGCTGGTACTGGGGAATGTCTGCAAAGAGTCCTGTGATGTGATCCATCTTCAGGTCTTGCAGCCATGGATACCAGCACCTGCTCCAGTGGAGGTAATAGGGGAGTGAAGTGGACTCTGTAAGGGTCTTTGGTTGTGTTTTTGTTTAGTGCACCTGTTTTGTGTGGGTTGGCCTCCAGCCAGGAGGTGGTGCTTTCAAGAGTGCATCAGCTGTGATCCTATAGGGAGGATGCAAACTTATCCTAGGGACATCTGGGCAAGTGTTCAGGTTTCTCAGGTGGTGGGCAGGGCCATAGAGCTCCCAAGAGATTGTGACCTTTGTCTTCTGCTATCAGGGCAGGTAGAGAAAGACCACCAGGTCGGGGCAGGGATAGGCGTGTCTGAGCTCAGCCACTCCTTGAGCAGGGCTTGCTGTGGCTGCTGTGGAGGATAGGGGTGTGGTTCCCAGTCCAATGGCATTATATTCCCAGGGGTATTATGTCTGCTTCTGCTGAGCCATACAGGTTGCCAGGGAAGTTGGGGAAAGCTCGCAGTCTCAGACCTCACCCCACTCCCATGCAGCCTGCAGTCCCAAAGGCCGGTCTCACTCCCACTGTGGCCCGTCAACAGCACCAAGTCTGTTTCCAGGCAGCTGTTGACTGGAGTTGAGAACTTGCTCCAGACCATGAGCCTCCCCATTGAGAAAGCAAGCCAACTTAGTTTTTCAACATCTCAGCAAGCCTGCAGCACTAATTCAGTTCCTTCAAAGGGTTTGTGGATTCTCTCAGCTTTCCTGATATTTCCTGGTATTTCCTGAGGTAATTCTTAAAGCAAAAGTTCACTATGTGTGTTCACTTAAAGCAGAGTTCACTATGTCTGTCATAGCAGGAGCTGCAAGTCCTGCCACCTATCCACCATCTTAATCTCCTATCCACCATCTTAATCTCCTATCCGCCATCTTAATCTCCTATCTGCCATCTTAATCTCCTATCCCTCTTTCTTAAAACTTAATGTTTTTCCAATGCCCTACAAAAAAACACTTATTATTATACTTTAATAAGATGATGTCAGGGAGGAGGGCATGTTGAGAGTTTTAAAGAAAATAAGAAGGGCTCGAGTGGGGCAGTTAACTGCCAGAGCTCATTCTTCTTCTTTCTAGGGCCCAGGTCTCCTCTAGGTATGCAAAGGCCTATGACAATATTTTAAAAGATACAATTTGTTCAAGAGAGATAGGATTACTTTCAAAGCACAATAAAAGGGAATATAGAGGTTCTAGAAACTCATAATCTTGCAGAATTGGGAAAGCCAAAAGATCTGAAAGCAGCAACTAGCAAAGCCTGTCAGTAGATAAAATGACTCAGGATAAAATCACATTAATGGTGTGGCTACCACATTCATTGTTCCAGATGATATTAAAATATCTACCATTAAACTGAGAGAGAGAGAGAGAGAGGGAGGGAGAGGTGGGGGACAAGAAAACAAAGAAGTAAATTATATTTAAAAACAAAGTTTCTAAGAGCACTTATGATATCATTATTTGTACATGTAAATGACTGGAAGCAAATAAATCAGAAGTTTATTAAATTTATAGGAAAGCTTTATTGGCAAAGAAAATACAAACCTGGATTTTAAAAAATATGCTTCTAAGATTTAAAACAATGCTTGGGTTTTAACTTTCTGTAAGCACTTTAAGGAAACCAAAATGGAAATTAATGCTGCATTACTGGTATTGTTTATGTAAGAAAGATGACAAGGCAGTCAACTTGAGAAACTTAATTTGAAGAGAGGACATTCGATTCACATCCAAAGATTTGTAGCTACTAATATCTTAGGTATGTATGCATCACTTTTATAATTACAACAAAAGAGATCTTCTAATAACCTTCAATCTATATGTACATTTTAGTTAACTTGTAGTAGACTATGTGTATAGAATGTTTCTTGGAGGTGTTAATTTTGTTGTAGTTTGGGATAAGAAGGCAGGATTATATCTCAGCATTGCCCATCAAACAGCTTTTTAGTGGCCGTTTTACATCCTTCATTCTTGAAAAAGTTGTTGGGTGATCTCTCTTTAGTCAATCCTTTTTAATTCTTTGTTCCTGCTTCTTACCTTCTTCATTGTTTCTGTCTTCTGCAGTCTTTCCCCAAGTTTTTAGCCTCTGGATTTAGGTCTATTTTTTTTATACCCAAATAAATATTGATATATTTTGTATAACATTGATATTGTCATATTGATCTATTTTGTATAACAAAGGTAGTTCTTATCCTTAGGAGGAATTTTTTGTCTTTGATTTTAAAAATTAACTGTTTTTCTTAACGACTTTTATTGGTTGTTTTGTGCCATTATAAATTTGCCAATCTCTTCCACATACTATCTTATTTAAAGCCTCATAACAACCTTAGCAGGAAGGTATTATAAGTTTCATTTTACAGATAAGAAAATAGAAGACTAGAGAAGTTAACTTGCCCAAGGCCATAAGCTAGAAGTGGTTAAATTTAGTCATGAAACCAGAATTGCCTGACTCCTGTGCTCCTATGCTCAGGCTTTCTTATCATAATATCACATTGCCTTCTACCCCTTTTGGTATCACTTGAGCCTCAGCTATATCCAGCTCTAAACCACCAGCATTATCTAATTTCTTTCAATGCTAAACTAAATGGAAACTGAACAATCCACTTTTTCTAATCTACTATGGTGGGGGTGCGGAGGCGGATTTGGGACTAGTTTTTCCCCTATCCAGTCAAACCAAACATAATGAAAGTTCCTCTATAATTTTCCTCTAAAATGATTTCAGTTCAGACATTCAGTTCTCTCTTCAGCATGATCATTAGACTATTAGCTTCAAAATGACAGTTTTGTGCATTTTTCACCTGTGGATCTCTAATATCTCCCAATATGCCCAGCATGTAGTAGGCATCCATATTTATTAAATTGAAGAGTTCTTTTCTCCTTTTTGTTGCAACTTACAACTTCCCTTAGATTTCCTCTCCAACCCTCATTTAGTCTGATGGTCATCTCCCAGGTGACTTGGCTCAAGTCATTGAGTATGTGTGACTCAAGAGTCTCACAAAATTCCAAAAGTATTGTTCTTTGAGAAGAGAATAGAATTACTAAGAGAGAAAATAATATAAATAAAAGCAATAAAAATGAAAATAAAAATTATTTCTACCTCCCAAATTATCAAAAATAAAACTAAGATGATACTCGGTACTGGCAAGGGTGCAATAAAAGGAACAGGCTCATTTTTGCTGCTGAGACCATAAAGTGGTACAACCTTTGTTCAAAAGTAATTTGTCAATGTGATCAAAAGCTGAAAAAGCATTCTTACTGTCGACTTAATTTCCTAAATGAGGAAAAGGCTTTACATGTGAAAATTCTCATCACAGCTTTATCTTTAAGAAGCCATCCACCACCTAAATGTCCAGAAATATTAAAATATGATTACATAGGCTATAGTAATTCATATTAGCATAGTACTATACATCCATTTAAATTATGTTTAGAATAACTTATAATAATGTATAAAATTCTGTTTTTCTTAGGCTGGTCCTTTAGGAAGGAGAATCTGAGATGAAGGCTTGTGTGCAGGTCTTTTTTTTTTTTTTTAGGATGAGATTCCATGGTGCAAGTATGCAGAACACAAGAGAGTGGCATAGAAAGAGCCAAAATAAGGATGTGTTTTTGTGTTGTTCATGGCTGACTGGAGTTCAAACCTGCCAGGACCTTCAGAGGTGTCTTATCAAACAGAGGTCAGAACTATCTTCCTTAGTAACAAAATGGGGAGATCCTGCCTCTCTTTGGTCAAGAGCGGCCTCATGCACAAAACTCCAGTTTGTACATAGGGTCCCCACGAGTGCCCCTGTTTGTAGAATCAGAGAAACCTTCATGCTGGAAGCAAAAGTCTGCATGAGACCCTCTCCAACTGTGCCTGCCTGAAGCCCTTCAAAGCCTGCATGGAACTTGCCACTCTTGCAGTGCTTGGAGTTAGTGGTGAGATTGAGGGGTTAGTGGACTGATATAGATTCTCCATTAACTCCAAGATGCACTCATTTTATTGTTATAATGTTGTGAGAGAAAGCTAAGAGCTAAAGTTACATACTCAGTAATATCTCAATTGATTCATACATTCTGTAATCTGTTGAGTGCCAGATATGTCCCTGGTTCTGTGAAATCAAAGAATAGGACAAAACTCTTTTCCTCTTGGGAGCATACATTCTAGTGCAGGAAGAGGGTTTTGGGACAGGGCTGGGTAACAGACAATAAACAAGTAAATATGCAAAGTAATTAAGTAATGATTAGAGCTAGGCTAGAAGTGAACAGGTGCAAAACAAATTAACAATGCAACAACACTTAGCAAAACGACTCATTAAAGATACAACAAAACGTTATCAGTGGTAGTTCCTGAGTAGTAGAACTTATTTCATAATATTTCTGTATTTTCTAAATTTCCTATAGTCAGCATAAACTTTTCTTAATAATCAGAAAAATCACAATACAATTATTATTAAAAATTATTAAAGGAAAAGTCATTCATCACTACCTGGGTAGCCCCTGGAAATGTATCTATACCCCACTCTGTACTTGGTCTTCTTTCTGTGTGGCTTTGAGCTTTTCACAGCCTTTCAGAAATTTCACACAGGGAAAACAGATGTATGGTGTGTGTGTGTGTGTGTGTGTGTGTGTGTGTGTGAATAAAAATAAAATCCCTGAAAACAGGGACATTTCCAATGTTGCTGTGCCCTTAACACAGAACTTGGTGAGCCAGTGCTTCTGAAATACAACTTATCCCATTTTCTACTTGCTAACAAGGCCAGCGATCCATGAAGTTGATTCTTTTTTGGGTTTTGGTGCCGGAGCATTTAAATGAATGGTTTGAGAGTAAAGTCTATTACTGTATGCAGCATAGCCAGCAATTGTTTAAATTCAGAATAAAGTATGGATAGAGTTACATTTTCCGTTTTCAAGGTGCCTACCTAGTACTGTGATTGGCAACTCAACACTGCTTTCCTGTTCCCTATTACAAGGTGTAGCCAGAAACACAAATCTTTAAGGGACTCTGCCGCTTACCATCTGCTTGATACTCAGGGTCTCCAAATGGCCCCAAAAGGTGGTGGCTGTTTGCAGCACTCGGACTTTTGAATTATATTAAGTACCAATCTGAATTTTCTATTTGGCTGACCTCTAAAGAATGACAGAGGAGACCAATGCAGACATCAAGTGTTCAGCAAAGCAACCTTTCGGGACAATAGTTGCTCCCGTCCCGGATGCCAGTGTGACCAATTCAGCAATTCTGTCTTTCCCAGGGATAAAATGAATATTGTGTCAGTGAAGCTAGAATCATAGAGTGATGATCTGAGAATCAGTGAGAAGAAAGACACTGACCTTGGAGAGGTTTAAGAATGCCTTACAAATAGCTATCCAGAACATAATTAAAGGCATTTTAACATCATAAGCCTTGAAGAATGCAAACCATCACTACTGCACACTGGGGAGTAAAAGATACTGCTTTTATAGCTGCAGAGCTTATGGTCAGAAGTGATATGAAATATTAGAAATGTGACAGTTTTATAATAATTTTATTCTTGCTCATTGTGATAATTTTCATTTGCAGCTTTTTACCTTTGAATATCTTGAATTGCATTAAGCCTTTCTCACTCCATCTTTGTCCTGTAACATTAGGGGCCGTGGTTTTAATCTAAGGAATTACAGTAAATGCTACAGGCACAAGGAAACAGATAATGGTGTTTATGATGCTCTTGTTATTTGAAGAATTAAAAGTTCTGAGTGAATTTATATCCCAGTTAATAAAAGTAATAGAGCCCTAAATGAAATATGGCCTCTTCTTTCTTTTTATATTGTCACTAACTCTTCCTATATCCTATTTCCTCTCTTAGTTGCTGTGTATTTTGGCTATGGAAAGGGGGACAGAATCGTTTCTGTCAATTAATTTATTCTGCTCTGTTTTTTTCTTATCTGTATTCTTCTCCCAAATACCATATGCATTCTCTTTTTTTAATAACCCAAGTTAGAATTAGCACTAGAGCTCATCTCGTTTAAATATTTTAATTTCTCAGGTGAGGTAAAATACAGTCATAAGGCAACATAGCAGCAGAACCAGGACTAAAGTCTAGACCCAACACCATGAAAACAGTAGCTGACACTCACTGAGCATTTGCTAGGTGACAGGCAGAAGCTCTAAACACTTTGCACGCACAAACAATTTTAAGCTTCAGAGTGTCTGTATGAGATAGGACTTGCTATTCTTGTCACCCCCATTTCATAGTAGAGTAAACTGAGACACAGGAACTCTAGGGTACATACCCAAGGTGATACACTTCCTGGGTGCCTCTAGCTGAATAAAACGGGTTGTTGGACCTGAACTTGCACATTCTGCTGTATTCGAGTGCCCGAGGATCTTCACAAGGTTCTTTCCTTCCTTTCTTGTCCCAGAATGCTTTCTAGGAAGTATTGGCCACTCAACATTCCTTTCCTGTTCCTTATTACAAAGTGTTGCCAGAAGCACAAATCTGTTAGGGACTCTGCCGCTTACCGTCTGCTTGATACTAAGGGTCTCCAAATGGCCCCAAAAGGTGGTGGCTGTTTGCAGCACTCGGACTTTTGAATTGCATTAAGTACCAATCTGAATTTTCTGGTCTATTAAAATGCATTAAGTACCAATCCGAATGTCTTCATTCGCATGTAGAGTCACACACATATGTATGTGCCGTGGACTTGTTTTGATGCTGATTTGTTAACTGGTTCTCTGTCCATGACTGACAATGCTGTTTAGCACAGGGGTTGGTCTTTTGAGGGATTTGTAAAAGAAACAGGGAATGTGGTGCTCGGCTTTTAAAATATTAAAATGTAGTTGTAGAGTCAAAGCAGTTAAAATAAAATCACATCAAATGTACTGGGTAATTATTATATGGAGTACAGGGTACCAAATATTCATTAACTTATGACCAAATCAGGATCCAAAAGGCTGGTTATTAGTTTATTTATTTAAAAGTCCTGGAATACTGAGGTTGGGGGTGGTGGCTCATGCCTGTGATCCCAACACTTTGGGAGGCTGAGGCGGATGGATCTCTTGAGTCCAGGAGTTCAAGATCAGCCTGGCCAACATGGCGAAACGCTGTCTTTACTAAAAATACAGAAATTACCCGAGTGTGGTGGCGCGTGCCTGCAGCCCCAGCTACTTGGAAGGCTGCAGCATGAGAATCGCTTGAACCCGAGAGGCAGAGGTTGCAGTGAACGTAGATTGTGCCACTGCACTCCAGCCTGGGCGACAGAGAGAGACTCTGTGTCAAAAAATAAATACATAAAAATTTAAAAAAATAAAATAAAAATAAAAAGTTTTGGAATACTTTACAAGCAATCTTTATGAGCCGATTTATATAAAAGTAAGTTTTGTAGAAGAACTGTGACTATTTGAAATTTCTGATTTTTTTAACCCTCTAAAACATTTTCTAAATATTCCTTCTTTTTGATTTTTAGAAATCACCAGTAAGTTGCAGTGTGATCGTACTTTAGATATGCTATTATTTAATAAGGGACTTGACGGTCACATCTCAGGAGACCACTCCCAGAGAGCTGTGGTTGGTTGGCAAATTGCTTCACTTTTCATGAGAACCTTTCTGACTATGAAAGTTTGTAAATTGAATGTTCAAAAGAAAGGAAATGTCTGAATTATACATTATGGGAGATACAAAGATGACAAAAATATTCAAAGCACAGTTGCTGTGTTTAAGAAATAAGAATTCAGTTAAGAGACAAGACGTAATAACATTTCTAAGATCCCCTTCTGATTATTCTGTGAATTTATACAAGGGTTAGATTACTTTCACCGATGTATAATGCTCAAAATCTATCCAGTGGTGAGCTGGCAAATGAATGGCATGGATCAGACTGGAAAAAAGTGTGTGAACAGATGTCAGGCAGGAGAGGGGGTTTGAGCTGAACCCTTAATGATGGATAAGCTTTAGAAAGGTGGATAGAGGTGAAGAAAGAGATGGGACATTCCATCTCAATGTCAAAACCAATGATCAAGGAAACCATAACAGGAACAAACTTGCACTTCTCTTCCACTTTCCATCTCTTTCGTACTTGCTGCCAATAAGCAGGTGCTAGTAAGACTGCTCAGATTCTAAAGTGCTCCTTGGGCCACACGGTTGTTATGGCATGGCTGAAGTCCTTAAATGTGGAAATGGCATCTACCCCTCTCCCCTGTGATTGCTCTTTATATAATAAGTAAATTTATTATAGGAAGAGCCTGTTATCCTAAATAATAAGGTTCCTTATTTTTCAATTTCCCTTAGAATATGGCAAGTATTTCAGGTCAGGGCCTGCTCTCCATTTTTACCACTCATTCATTTTCTCTCTCTTTTTCTCTCTTCTCTGTACCCTCCTCTCTGTCTTGCATCTCTTCCTCCCTCCCTCCTCCTATGTATTTAACAAGTATAATTGTCTCAACATTTCAATTTGTAGGAAGAAAGTTTAAGGTCCAGTTTAGCTCTCCAGACAAAAGCTTACTTGTTCCAATTCTGTCATGTAACAGAGCGAAATGGAATAAGGATCTCATGCTGCCATTCACTTAGTGGTTCTTTTATTCTAAGCACCCTGCTCCTATATTTTGCACATATCTTTCTTGGAAACTGTATGGGGAGATAGGGACATTTGTCAGGGCAATGTGTAAGCATTCTTAATTACTTGGCTATTCAACGTTTACCCTAACATTAATAAAAAATGTTCTGGAAGAGGGTGCCTTCAGTTTATCTTTGCTATACCAGTAGGTAAAGAACTATTAGGTGGCTTGATTACAGAAATTTGGGATGATATTAAGATAGTTGTAATTTTCTTTAAATTATGTCTCTGTTACACAGGATAATTCATTTGCTATGTGATGAAGATGAGATTTTTCTTAAAGCCTGATATGGTTTGGCTGTGTCCCCACCCAAATCTCAACTTGAATTGTATCTCCCAGAATTCCCATGTGTTATGGGAGGGATCCAGGAAGAGGTAATTGAATCATGGGGGCCAGTCTTTCCCATGCTATTCTCGTGATAGCGAGTAAGTCTCACAAGATCTGATAGGTTTATCAGTGGTTTCTGCTTTTGCTTCTTCATTTTCTCTTGCTGCCAACATGTAAGAAGGGCCTTTTGCCTCCCACCATGATTCTGAGGCCTCTCCAGCCGTGAGGAACTGTAAATCCAATTAAACCTCTTTTTCTTCCTAGTCTCGAGTATGTCTTTATTAGCATCATGAATACGGATAGATACAAAGCCTCCGCCTCTGTTAAGTCACTTGGCTGGTGTGTGTGTATGTGTATATTTGCTTGCATGTACAAACCTCATGCCGGTCAACATGGTAATGTCACTTTCATTTATCTGATATCTAACTATTGTATAGGTTAGCTCTGTACTCTCAGTTTTAAAGGAGTCCTCTTTTAGGCCAAATTCGTAGTTACTTGCAAAGACATTTTATAACTTAAAGTTGCAAAGCAAATGTCAAGCAAGCAGCATCTAGACCAGTGTTCCTTAAATTGTGGTTTGTGGTCTATCTACATCAAAACTACATGGAGCATGTGTTAAAAATGCAGATTCATGGCCGGGCATGGTGGCTTATGCCTGTAATCCCAGCACTTTGGGAGGCTGAGGCGGGTGGATCACGAGGTCAGGAGATCGAGACCATCATGGCTAACACAGTGAAACTCCATCTCTACTAAAAATACAAAAAAAAAAAAAAAAAAAAAAATTGGCCGGGCATGGTGGCACGTGCCTGTAGTCCTAGCTACTCAGGAGGCTGAGGCAGGAGAATGGCGTGAACCCGGGAGGCAGAGCTTGCAGTGAGCCGAGATTGCACCACTGCACTCCAGCCTGAGCGACAGAGCGAGAATCCGTCTCAAAAAAGGCAGATTAATTTACTTTAACACAGATCTACTGAATAGATATTTGAATAGACATTTTGAAAAAAGTTACAAGAATCTATGTTTTTCACATGTTCCTTATGTTATTCATTTGGCCACCCAAGTTTGATAACAAAGGATGCTGAAATCTATTGAGCCTATACATCTAGAAGTATAGATGTAGCCAAGTATTGAGAAGTCCTGCACAATTGGTTAAAGAACAGACCTGACTCCATCTTTGGCCATGTGTGTGATGTGGCATCTGTCTAGTTTCATTGGACAATTCCTTCAATAACTTTCTTTACTACATCCGTAGTAGCTTCTATTATATCTGTAGTGTAGCCATTTGCTTGAGAGTGATGGGATGTGATTGTGACTGTTTTAATATAGTTTCCAAACATTAATTCTTTAAGCTCAGCAGATTTACAGGCAAGCCCATGTTCCAAAGTAGAATGTACAACAATTTATGCATTACAAATAACTGGCAGAGTGCGCTACTTCTGCAGCAAATATTTAAGTAAATTAGAAGGAGTTGGAGAGATTTTGATAAGTCCTGGAATAGTCCTGGTGAATTTATCTAAATTCTTGACCAACGTTTCATTTCCCAAGGAGTGTTTGCTTCATTTGACAGGAAAATGCCAGATATGTTTTAGTTTTCTGTTGTGTTTTCTGTCACCATTATCAGCATTGATTTGAAGCCATAGCTAAAAGCTAAGCCAACACTTTATGTAGTTTGGCCAAGATAATAAGATGTCTGCTTTCTGTAATGTTGATTCTTGAGCATATTGAAAATTGATTCACAGTGCTTTCTATCATCCAGCTTTATTTTTATTCATACTAAAATGCAGTGCTTTGGAAGGTAACTAGACGATGACCTGCAGTTTTCAGAAACCATGCTTTATCAAATAGTATAATGTGTATCAAGTACTCAACACAGAACCTGACACTTGGTAGAATTGAATTAAATAGTTACAAATATGTTTTCTAAAAATTAATTAAGCTTACCCTACTTCCTCTGTAATACAAAGTGACAATTCAACGGGAAGTCTGGAGTTAAATATGTATACTTCAAGTCAGGAGTTAAATATGTATACTTCAAGAAAAACTTCAGCACTAACCTGACCACATAAAAAGTACAGAAAGTGGCCAGGCGCCGTGGCTCACGCCTGTAATCCCAGCACTTTGGGAGGCTGAGGCGGGCGGATCACGAGGTCAGGAGATTGAGACCATCCTGGCTAACACGGTGAAACCTTGTCTCTACTAAAAATACAAAAAATTAGCCGGGTGAGGTGGCGGGCGCCTGTAGTCCCAGCTACTCGGGAGGCTGAGGCAGGAGAATGGTGTGAACCCCGGGGGCCGGAGCCTGCAGTGAGCCAAGATTGCACCACTGCACTCCAGCCTGGGCGACAGCGAGACTCCATCTCAAACAACAACAAACAAACAAACAAACAAACAAAATTACGGAAAGTGAAGGAGGTTTCCTGGAAAGACTGATGCCTACCCAACAGCATCACCAGCCTCCTTCCTATCTTGTAGAGCCACCCTTCCAAAGCCTACAGAGGCTAAAAAGCCAGTTCCTTGCTTGCCTGGCCTCCCTTGCTGCCAGGGTATTGGCTTGGGTTCCAATCCTGACCAATAGGACCTAAGACCAAACCAGTTGAGGATGTTGTCAAAGACTTTCCGCCCTAATATATGAGAAAGACAAACAAGGAACACACCTTTCCCCATTTTCCCTGCTTTTTATATTTTTGCATGTGTGTGAGGGTGTATTAGGCTGTTCTCACATTGCAATAAAGAACTACCCAAGACTGGATAATTTATGAAGAAGTTTAATTGGCTCATGGTTCTGCAGGCTGTACAAGAAGCATGGCTGGGGAGACCTCAGGAAACATACAATTATGGCAGAAGGCGAGGCACAGCACGGTGGTAAGCAAAGCACATCTCTCATTCTGCCAGGAGAGAGAGTGAAGGGGCACTGCCACACACTTTTAAACCATCAGATCTCGTGAGAACTCGCTCACTATCACAAGAACAGCATAAGGGACTTCCGCCCTGTGATAGTTAATATTGAGTGTCAACTTGATTAGATTGAAGGATGCAAAGTATTGTTCCTGGATGTGTCTGTGAGGGTGTTGCTAGAGGAGATTCACATTTGAGTCAGTGGACTGGGAGAGGCAGATCCACCCTCAGTGTGGGTGGGCACCATCTAATCAGCTGCCAGCATGGCTGGAATAAAGCAGGCATTAGAACATGGAAGGACTAGACTTGCTGAGTCTTCCGGCCTCCATCTTTCTCCTGTGCTGGATGCTTCCTGCCCTTGAAAATCAGACTCCCCAAGTTCTTCAGCTTTTGGACTCTTGGACTTACGTCAGTGGTTTGTCAGAGGCTCTCGGGCCTTTGGCCACAGACTGAAGGCTGCACTGTTGGCTTCTCGACTTTTGAGGTTTTGGGACTCAGACTGATCCACCACTGATTTTCTTGCTCCTCAACTTGCAGATGGCTTACTGTGGGACTTCACCTTGTGATCATATGAGTCAATTCTCCTTAATAAACTCCCTTTAATATATACATATATCCTATTATTTCTGTCCCTCTAGAGAATCCTGACTAATTAACATGCTCCCATGATCTAATCACCTCCCACCAGGCCCTTGCCCCAGTATTGGGGATTACAACGCAACTCAACATGAGATTGGGGTGGTGACACAGAGCCAAACCATATCAGAGGATGTGATGCTTAGAGTTATGGCAGCAATCATTAGACCATGAGGATGAGGATCCAAGAGCATCACAGAAAAGCTGACACAGAGCCTTGGTATTACTGAACTGTTGAATGAACCCTATAGCCACCCAGACTCCTTTTTATGTGAGTAAGCAAACCTTTATCTCAAAGCCTCTTTGCTTTTTGTTAAGCTGTTTCTTGAAACCAAAAACATTCTATCAGATACATCTTTCTAAAAGTTACACTTTTTTTTTTAGAATATAAGCTCCATAAGGGCAGAGATCAAGTCTATGTCACTCTAAATTACAGTGACTTCAACATGATGAAAATTTTTTTCATTCTTACACACAGTCTGGGCTGCTATAATGGTTCTGTGCTCTTGTCATGTGAATAGATTCCTTTTATCACATTGCTCTGCCATCCATGGGGTGCTGTCCTCATCTATAAAGTACAAGATGGCTCCCCACAGTGTCTGCATCCCAGACAGCAGAAAAGAGGAGGGGGAAGCAGAGGAGGCACCTTCCTTTTAAAGGCACCACCCAGAAGTTGAATGCATCACTTGGCTTAATATCTTATTGGTCACAACTTAGTTACCTGGCTATAAGAACAAGGATAGCTGGGAAATAAAGTCTTTACTCTGCAGCCATATGCCCAGCTAAAAGTTTCACTATTGTGCTTGAAAGAAAAAGCAGATATTGGGGAGCAAATAAGTTTCTGCCATAGCATCATTAATAAGTATGAATAATATATATAAATAGACTTGAAAAGATTTTTAAAAATTTAGTACTTGTTTTATGCAGGTGTTTCACTATGCTCTTTTACAAAATTTTCTCAATCAGTCATCACAATAACCTTATGACAGAGAGAGCATTATAATTCCCACTTTGCAGATGTGGAATGAAGCCTAGAGTTCAAGCAAGTTGGCCAGGCACGGTGGCTCATGCCTGTAATCCCAGCACTTTCAGAGGCCAAGGCGGGTGGATCACCTGAGGTCAGGAGTTCTAGACCAGCCTAGCCAACATGGTGAAACCCCATCACTACTAAAAATACAAAAAATTAGCTAGGTGTGGTGAGGCATGCCTGTTACCCCAGCTACTCAGGAGGCTGAGGCAGGAGAATCGCTTGCATCCGGAAGGTGGAGGTTGCAGTGAGCTGAGATCGCGCCATTGCACTCCAGCCTGGGCAACAAGAGCAAAACTCCATCTCAAAAAAAAAAAAAAAAAAAAAAGAGTTTAAGCTAGTTGCCCAAGGTCATACATTGAGTAATTAGTGAAACTTGTATTTAAGTCAAAGTCAAAGTCTATCCTCCTTTTTTTTTTTTTAGATGGAGTCTTGCTCTGCCACCAGGCTGGCTGGGTGGCTCACTAACACCTGCCCCCAGCACCCCAACTGCCTCACCCTGATTTTGTGGTCTGTGTTGTGTTTAACCCCATTTCAAATTTTGCTTGTAAATTCCAAGGGCTCACATTTTTAACTACTTACTTCTCATTCCAGTTTTCTGCTTCCCTTGAGTTTTATTCTCTACCCTGTATCTTTATAGCACTAGCTCCAACGTGGTACACACCTTTATCTCTCCTTGATTATCCTCCCTACCCCCAGTGTCAGTTATTAAGTAATTGTTTCTCCACTCCAAATTGACGCTTCTCTATTCCTTTCTGTGATGCAGGGCTAAAGCTGGACTCAGCCACCACCTTTGGCTTTGCCTGCTGCTCCCTAAGTTCTGCCAAGAGGAGGTGCTAGAGAGAGATAATGAGCCACACCGGAGGGGAGAAGGGATTCTCTTCTTCCTGTTTCTTTCCTCTTTGCTTATTCAACTTTCAGTTCATGTCAGTATCATTGAGGGGATGCTTCCTCACCCCAGCAGCTGAATGCATGTTGAAGTTTTTCCAAAACTTGCAAGAACACCCTCATTATGTACCCTCAGGGACACCAGTTCCAGCCAAGTAGCGCCCCCTCCTCAAAAGTCTGAGTTTCAGCTTCCCTGGATCTTTCACTGTTTTGATGCCAACTTTCCTCCTCAGTTTTCCCAGTCCTAGCGGCGGTAGCCCCTTGATGCAATTGCTAGTTCCACAATACTTTACAGTTATTAAGTTATACTAATTCTCCACACTCTCAATTCCTTTAGAAGGCATAAGTGGCTATGGTCAATTTTACACTTTTTTTTTGAACTCAATTATATGTTGGCTTGTTTTTGTTTTCCTGAATAGTTCTGTGTTTTCATTCCTAGGGAAATCAAGAAACTGCCTAGGTAATGCTTGGGTGAGGGCAGGATCCCATTCTTCTTCTCTGTCTGCTTCACACAGAAGTGGGCACAGTCTGGAGGGCACAGTGGAAACTTTGTGAGCACTTGCATATTCATCATTGCCCAGAAGTTGCTTTGGTTCTAAGTTGATTGAGTTGATTCAATCATGCTTGGGCTCTGGTAAGCTCAGAAGCATTACAGACCTGCAGACGCCTTTACTCTCAAATCTCTATCTGAGGAAGAAAAAGGACACGCATGGTGGTGCCCACTCAACAGAAGGGAAGACCAAGGCAGAACAAGAAGTTGACTAAGCTTTCAAATTAGACTGCAGCAGAGACAAGAAACAGTCAGGTTCTTGGACTGCTTTTTCCTAAACCCCCTAGACATGGGAGGACAAAACTGACCTTTAAGGGAGGGATTATTTTTGCTCTCTGACCTCTCTCATTGGCAAGTACAAGCCTTCATTTTCCTGGCCTCCTATTCTGGCACTTTCCACAGGCATAAAATTCACTTCAGAGGAGGAACATAAAGGTGAGATCAAAGGCTCATATAATTTCACTTCTCAGGGGGAGAGAAAGCCTCAGCTAGCAGCCTGCTTTCCAGGAGTTATTCAAACCACCCTGCCTCTATTGTCCATAGTGAGTTAGAAGCAAGGAAGAGGACCTGGTGTTTCTTTCTGCAGTCACTAATGAAACCAGCGGTGGCTTAGGCAGCTAAGGTAAAAATACTACTTGGAGGCACTGAGAGATGAGAATGAGCCATAGGATTTCCACCAGAGGAATGGGGTGGCACACTGAAGTCCTTCAAGATTGCAGAAAACTGGAGCCCTACATTCACTTGGTTGAGAGTACTTGCTTGGCTGTTGCCAGCCAAACAGCCGTGTCTGAGCCTTTCACCAAGTGACGTTTTGTTGGTAGTATCTGGCACTGTGGATACTGTGGCTCAGTAATTGACTGATTTCATCTCCAAGCCTAGCATTTAAGTCAGGCTATTTTTATTTTATTTTATGTTGTGACAATGGCAAATCCTGCCACAGAAGGGGTGAGCTGATATGATAAGTTGCTTTGAAGATTGAGTGATATTTAATATTTTGAGTGACTGCATCTTGTCAAAGCAATTGGGCTCTTCAAGGACATGCTATCCATGTTTAAAATGGTATGTCTGGGGCTGCCACTGCATAATCGACTGTGAAATAAGCCCCTTGGAAAGGACAATTACTCCTCGGTCCTCAAATGCAAGTCAAGTCTCCCGTGGCAGTGAGAGGGAGGGTCCTGTTAGGTTTTAGTCAGGAATGAAAATGACTGTGGCTTTTATTGCACAGCATCGGCTAGTGTGTGCAGTGTAACCTCACCACGGCATTACAGAGATGTAAGCACAGCCCAGGTGATCATCCAGCAATAGATCATAGTAAGAGCGGCTGTTATGAACAATCCATGCATCCATCAATTCATCAGCCCATCCTGGCATTAATTAACTATTCAAAAAAAATTATTGAGAACCTACTATGTGCCAGGTAAACACATAGGTACAAGGAACAAGGAGACACAAGGTATGCTCCTTAAACATATCCTTGAGTAGAAAATATGAAAGAGAGAAAGGAGAGAGAGAGAGAGAGAGAGAGAAGTAACATCTATTAACATCTATTAGAACCATACCATATGGCAGAAATTATATCTTTTTTAATTTTTTTTTTTTTTTAGAGACAGGGTCTTGCTATGTTGCACAGGCTGGTCTTGGGCTCAAGTGATCCACCTGCCTCAGCCTTCCAAGGTTCTGGGATTACAGGCATAAGCTACTGTGCCTGGACCCAGAAATTATATATCTTGTGAAGCTCTTCAACCACTTTATTAAGTGTCCATTTCACAGACAAGGAAACTGAGATGTAGAGCTGTTAAATAACTAGCCCAAGGTCACACAGCTTATAAGGAACAGAACTGGGAACCAGCTCCGTTTGAATACATACATCCTTGCTGCCTTAGTGGTGCATTAGAGAGAAGCTTAGTAGCCATAAAGTGATTGAGACTTTGTTTTCTCACAGTCACAAATCTTGAAAGCCTTACTGCTAATGTGGCCATTGTTATTTCTGTTTTTAAATGGAGATTTTTTTTTCCCCTAAACTAATACCCTTATTAATACCCTTATTAATACCCTTATTAATACCCTTATTAATACCCTTATAAATACCCTTATTAATACCCTTATAGTTCTGAAAGCTGCTTGGGTGGTTTTAGTGTAAGGGACATACTGAAGTCACATCATATTAGATGCACAATTACAATGACAGTTCACAAATACCCAAACCTAAGGCACCATATTGAACAAACCCCATAGAAATGTAAACCATTGGCCGGGCGAGGTGGTTCACGCCTGTAATCCCAGCACTTTGGGAGGCCGAGGCGGGTGGATCACGAGGTCAGGAGATCGAGACCACGGTGAAACCCCGTCTCTACTAAAAATACAAAAAATTAGCCGGGCGCAGTGGCGGGCGCCTGTAGTCCCAGCTACTCGGGAGGCTGAGGCAGGAGAATGGTGTGAACCCGGAAGGCGGAGCTTGCAGTGAGCGGAGATCGCGCCACAGCACTCCAGTCTTGGCGACAAAACGAGACTCCGTCTCAAAAAAAAAAAAAAAAAAAAAAAGAAATGTAAACCATTGCTTGACCTAAAACTGCAGCCAATATTTAAAATGCCAAACTAATTCAAGAAATCCCGTGGATGGCTCCAGGATTCAGCAAGGCACAGTGTAAGATGACAACTGTGGGCAGCCCTTCTGAGCCAAGAGATGCTTTTTCCTTATCAGTATTTCATTGTTCCCTACTGATAAATGCCCTTATCGGTCATAAAGCAGTTTTCTTAAAACACACACACACACTCTCCAAAGTAGGAAAAATATTAAAACAACATTTTTAGGAACTGATAAAATATCTGATTAATATTTATTGACAATATAAATTAAAAACTCTGTTATTTGTTTACATTGGTTTCTCTGTTTCAGACTCTGGTTAGTTCCTCGTGCATATGGCAGCCAGGCAAAAATTCCCAAACCATCATATTTATCATCTTCACTTTAATACTGTAATATAGTTTTGTGGATATTTTGGTTTGAATAATTTAAACCTCCACCTTCTTTCTAGTTGGAGACATTAAAGAGGTGAAAACCATCTTAAACTGCGTTTCTTCGAATTCTTTCTAGATAGGGCTCTGGATTTGAATTAGCTTCCACCAGTGAGTGATTCTGTGCAATATCTGGGAGGTGCCAGTGAAGTGGAGGGCATCTTTCTGCCCTTCCTCTTGGACCAAGGGCATGGGTAGGTAGATGTTTCTGCAGCTGCATTCACTGTCCACTGTCAGCTTCCTGGGCATCTGGAGGCCGTTATTGTGGGACAACCGATACAAGTGGGTTCTTGATCCTGGCACAGCCCCAGTTCTCTCCAATGCAGTAGCTCTCCTGGTGGCTCAATTCTATGCTGATCCAGCTGTTCCTGGAGGATCAGCCTGGAACCATCTCTTCCAGCAGCTCTTGAAATTCTCTAAGCTCCCAATTACCTATATTAAATATCTTCCCGACGGAAATACCTGGTGTTATTTCTCTTTCTAGATTAAACCCTAACTGACACTGAGTTCTGGAAAGGAGGGTTGGGATCATTCTCTTGGGGCCACCATGTGGCACCAGCTAACTTTTTGAACTTAACATCAAAATTGCCATTTTCTAATTTTTTTCTGAATGACTCCCTACTTTCATGCTTTCATTTTCTCTGCTTAGTATGTCCTTCTATTCTTCTGCCAAGCCTCAGTTCAAATGTCACTCACCCAGAGAGTTTTTTCTCATAGATTTAAGGAAAAGTGAGCTATTTGTATCTTAGATACATATATTTTTGGGGGCTATGATTACACGATGGTCCACAGATATGGAGATGAAAGACAGCTCCTGATTTTGGGGGGCTTTCAGTCTAGTGTGAGTGCTAGATGAGTAAATATATAAACTCAGAGACACAAAACTACATTAACATATTCATATATCTCTAAGAATGTAGCACAGTGTTGATGCTAATAAATGTGTGTTACTGTGGTTTTATATGACATATGTGAGTGAAATAGTATATAGTAAAATTCACATGGCAGTACTTGATGCCACGGAAGAAGCACTGTCAGTTCCACTTTATGGATTCAAAGTCCACATTTCATTTCACCAGCTCTAGGATAATGATTTGCCCACTGCTTTGATCGCTGGAAGCCACTACGATTTCTTGTGGAAAGAGAATATTCTGATTATTTCCTTTCTACATAAAATTCAACATTCTTTGAATTAATTTCTTTCAGATGACATCCCACAAAGCTCCATTTGAGTATTTTTTTAATGTACCTGATTAATCCCAGGATTAGAGTCCCTCCCCTAGCTAAGGAAGAAAAGTGTTAAGATGTTGGAATTATTACTTACTATCTCTGTTTTGTAAAATTGAGTATATATTAATGAAAGTTTTAAATTGAAGTTTTATTAAAACAAACAAAAAAGGAACCCAACAAAAGAAGATATTTTTAATTCTTCAATTTGTCCGCCCAGGAACATGGCTACCTGCCAGCCTGAGCCACTGTCAAACACACATACGATTCACAGTGACTTACAGCCTAATTTCTTTAGGGCTTCCACCTGTGCTCAATTAAGGACCTGCAGAACATGAAACCTGCTTTCTTTGAATCATTTTCTTTGTTTCTTGTTGGGCAACCTACTCTTTGCCGGGCAAATGAAATGCCCAGGCAGTATCCATTGTGTGTGCCAACAACTCTACAACTGCCCTCACTGCTCCCAGTTGTACCAGCTTAATTTCCAGTTGTACCAGTTTAATGCTTTCTTTCCCGATAACAATGCCAACTTGCTCTGTGTTCTCTCTTTTCCATATTTCTTCCACCTTGAACCTCCCTGCCTGGGGCCACCAGATGGCTCCAGCTTAATTTTTGGTTTTAACATAATGCTTAGCCCATCTCATCCCATCTCCTTATGATTCTATCCTTTGGATTCTTGATTTTGCCCTCTTGCCAAGACACCTCCTGAAACTTAAAACTGGTTATTGCTCTTCTGTTTACCAAGACACCAGGGCAGTCTAGATCTGAATATTTATTTTTGTGTGTGTCCTGCCCAAAGAGAAATGTTAAAGTTCTTTTTTTTTGAGACAGGGTCTCACTCTGTCACCCTAGCTGGAGTGTAGTGGCACGCTGTTGGCTCACTGCAACCTCAGCTTCCTGAGTAGCTAGGACTACAGGTGCATGCCACGATGCCTGGCTAAATTTTGTATTTTTTGTAGAGATGGGTTTTGCCATGTTGCCCAGTCTGGTCTTGAACTCCTGGACTCAAGTGATCTGCCTGCCTTGGCCTCCCAAAGAGCTGAGATTACAGGCATGAGCCAATGTGCCTGGCCAAAGTCCTTACTTTCGGTATTTGGTACCCTTATTTAGAAATAGGATCTTTGCAGCTGTAATCAAGTGAAGAAGAGATCATCCTCAATTAGGGTGGGCCCTAATCCAATATAACTGATATCCTTATAAGAAGAGAAACCAGAGAAACAGAAAGAGGAATGTCAGGTGAAGCTACAGCGACACACAGACACAGAGGAAGGTGGCCCTGGGAAGATGGAGGCAATGCCGGAGTCATGCTACTGAAAGCCAGGGAACACCTGGGACTATTGGAAACTCCAAGAGGCGAGGAAGGATTCTTCCCTAGAGGCTTTGGAAGGAGATTGGTTTGTTCACATCTCAATATTGGGATTATAGCTTCCAGAACTGTGAGAGAATTGTGAAATCTGTTACCATGGCTATAGGAAACTGATATAGAAACTCAAACAGGATGTAGCCCAGTTGGCCCTTATGGTTGGGCTGGGGACATCAAGAACATCAGAAGCATCTGTTCTAGCTCTCTGTTTAGAAATACTTCCTTACATTCCAATATAATGTTGAAGTTCACAGAACAGTTTTCATGTACATTATCTTCACGATTCTATGAGTTTGGTAAGAACCCCTGTATTTTACAGATGAGGTAACTGAGGCTGTGTGTTGAGTGACGTGATCAAAGTGACACAGCTGGTGGATGGCAGAGCCCAGCTCATTCTCAGTTCTTTCGACTAAAAGTTCAGGGGACTTTCCACTACCCCACTCTGCCAGCCTGGCAGAGTGAAAAGAAGTCTTTGGAAGAGAACTCATTTTAACCCTGTGTGTTGCTGTACAGGTGAACTCTGGGTTTGACACAAAACCTTAATCAGATCAGTGAAAGTAAACATGTGCTGAGCTGACTTACATAGCAAGAATGGTGTATGGCTTGAATGCTGCCCACCTCTCTTCATCTCCACTGCTACCACCCTAGTCAAAGTGACCATCATCTTTCATTGAACCCACTGCGCCAGCTGCTGTGGGTGCTTCTGCTCTTGCCCTTGCCAGTCGGTTGGCAAAGCAGCCTGACTGAACATTTAAACATGTAAATCACATGACAACAGTTCCTTTCAGAGCCTTCAATTGCACACAAAAAAATGTGTACCTTGAACCACAAAGTCCTGCAATCCCTCTGACTTCATCTCATGTCTCATTTACCCTTTGTCCACTGTGTTACAACCTCCCTGGTTTTCTTTTTTTTTTTTTTCCTTGAATATGGCAAGACCATGTCCATTACTAGGCCTTTGTACTAGTTTTTTCTATGCTTAAGCATTAAGGTGGCAGCTCAGAAAGTTCTTCCTTAGAAAGGCCTTCCCTGAATAACCTATCTAAAGTAGTAGCATCACCACAGCCTCTCTCTACCCAATCTACTTGGTTTTATTTTCGTCATAGAAATTGTTACTATTTCAAATTATGTTGTTTACAATTTTTTTGTTTGTTTGTTTATTGTCTGTCTCCTTTATAAGTCTCTAAGATTGTGAGGGCAAAAACCTTGTCCATATTTTTCTTTGTGGTATTTCCAGCATATAATTCAGTGACTGCTAGATAGTAAATGCTCAGTAAAGGTTGGTTGAATAAACACCAACTTCATAAGTGATAATAGCCAAGTTTTCCAGAGCTGACTATGCGTCAGGTACTGATCTGATCCTTACATAAATAATCTTATTTGCAGCAACCCTATGAGTTAGAAATGATTCTTCATCCCCATGTTGGAGATGAGACACTAAAGCTGAGAATGATTGAAGGATATGCTCAAGGTTACATAACTAATAAGTATCAGAGGCAGGACTCGAACCCAGGTATGTGAATGACAAGTTTGTTCTCTTGCTTCAATGCTCTCTGCTCATAGATTGTGCACAAACGCTAGTGGCTTCTTTCATGGCAGGCAATGACCATTTTACAAGGCAAATGTTAGGTATCAAAGCAATGCTCTTTTCCTTTTTGTGGGAGTTGACTGGCTCAGTTCTCAGATCCAGAGCCATAGCTTAGTCAGGAAAATGGCCCTACTCTTGCCAGTCCCACTGGTTTGAAGGGTGCATCATTTACTTTGGTGTTTTATGGGTTTTGGGGACATGATCCAGACAAATCAATGGATTCCCTGATAATAGAGGCTCCTTAGAAACAAAGGGGTCATGGCAGAGCGTTGTTCAATGCTTCCCCTCCTTCTCATATGCCTCCTATTAATTTCCACTTTTGCATTAGCAGAGCTGGCTGGGACGCAGGCTCCATTTAGCTAAACGATGAAACACAAACGTTTATTGAGACTGTGCTTCGAATCAACAGGGTTTTCCTCAGATTGAGTTGCCGCCAATTATCCTCCATGCAATTATGGTGATCCCAGAAGCAAGCAGATGGGGAAGAGTTTTGTTTTCAAATGGAGGAGAAACCAATATGTAGGAAGAAAAGGCAGCTTGTTCATTTGAACAGACTCCAGGTGGCTGGTCGCCAAAAGGCAAAGAGCTGGGGAGCCGGGTCTGGCCCTGGATCAGTCCGACTGCCCACAGACCAGAGAAACCACCGAAACAACAGGGTTCTGCCTCCACTCATCTCTTTTGCCATCGGCCAGGTTGGCCGCGAGAGTGGAGGCCACGGGAGAGACAGACCACAGAGGCCCTCACAAGTCAGTCTCTTGACCTTGATGCCACTGGAACATTGAGTCCTGCTATTTTGTTGTTGTTCAACAGCGACACGTCGGTGTATTTTATTAGAGAAGAAAATTCAAGAAAAGGCATGCAAAAGCCCAAACCATATGGCAAATCTCCTTGGACAGACTTGATTATTTGGAGTTTCATAAAACCTAAAAGCTATTTCTTTTTTCTTAAGGATTACATTGTCCCGGACTTCTTGTTGGACCCTGACTCTTGAGGTTACCATTCACAGGAGAACAGAGGATGCTGTTGAATGATTACCATAATTATTTCTGTCAGAGTTTATATTTATAATTACACAATGCACCTAAGACTCCATAAAAAATAGTCACTAATGTCAGTTCTAGGGGCATCAATGCTTACAGGGGATTTGTTCCCCTTTTGACAAGAAGGGAACATTATCAGATTGAAATAAATCCGAGGCACATGGAGTGTGGAAATGATATTTACATTTACTCAGTAAATTAATTGAGGTAAGAAAGGTATAATTAAATGAGGAAAATTGTCATGCAAAAATCAGCCCAACTCATAAGCTCAATAAAGGTGTTTGAATTTTGGTTCATCACTCACATAACAAATAATGATCTGCATTCTCGTTTCAAAAAGAGTAGCCATTTCACCTAGATAAATAGGTGATAATATGTTTAGATACCTCAGTTTTAGTCTTTGTCCAGTCACATATATTCACATAATCTTTGTTAGATCACTCATCCTCTCTGAGAGTTTGTCTCTTTCTCCAGATTAAGGGAGCACTCTCAAGTTCTGTGATAAATTTCACTAATGGATCCTGATGCCTGCATTTTTGGGCAGAGGGAAAAAATAGCCTGATAAATTTTGGGCTTCTTAAGGGACTGATTGACTCTGTACGTATCTAAATGAGATTGCTAGAGAGCATGTTGATGATTTCATAATGTTTTCATTTTACAACTGTTGCACACCTCTTACCTGAGTGACTATTATGGGAATAAACTGGGAAATGCAAAACAGAACTTGGCCATATAACAGCATATAGGAGATGGATGGTGTCTATTTTGATGGTAAGGGAAAAAAGCCCAGGAAACCTCTTAGAGGCAGGAAACAATTTTGGAAGTGCTACAAAAGACAATGATATTGTTCTTGGTTTAATAGGTGATCTGCCCCATGAAATAAAGCTGCAGGGCCACGTTTGTCTTGGTTAATAATGTCAGCGGAATGAGGATGTTTAGCTGTAATAACAGTAATAACTGTGTCAATGTAACTGCTGGGGCAGAATTTCCATCTGCAGCCTCATAATATATGACCTTTGTTATGCCTCTATCTGTTGATTTTTTCAAGGCAAAATTGGCTTGTCTGTTCTGTTCAGGGGATAGAGGCTCAAACAGTCCATTTTTCCCTGGATAAATCAAGGTCTTGTGGGTGGTAATTTAATCTCCCAAGTATCATTTTGGACTTGATTAAAATCACAGAGAAAGAAAGTTGGGCATTAACAAAATACATTGTTCATTTGATACTGAATTAGGTAGGTTTAAAGTAGGACATTTTATTTACTTCTTATCTTTCCCTTCATTACTTTCCTTTTATTTTTTTTCTCATAAAACAAATACTGACATCCACATTTTCTTCCTATGACACTTCCCCTGAGCTTTCCCTGACCTCCCCTGATAGAGTTAACCATTCTGTACTCCTGGAATGTGTTTTTCTTTTTACACTCTTCATACTGTTTTGGCAATACATTTGTTAATATATCTTGTCTCCATCAGTGGTCTGTGAGGTCTTTGACGGTAGAGGCTAGGTATTGCGTATCTCTAATCTTTAAAACCTAATATGGATCTTGGTTGATGTTCAATGCTTTCTTGAAGTACAATGAAATATTCTGCTTGATGCATTTTTAATTCCAAATGTTTTCACATAATATATGCTCATTTTCCTCTCCCAATCATTTAATGCTGTGCTTAGGAGAGGTGACATACCAGAATAAGAAACAGATAAAGTGAGGAGGTCAGTTGCAGGTTGGTCAGATTGCTCAGGGCTTCTTGACTAATTAGTAGTGAACCCAGGGTCAGAGCTCTTGTTTTCTAATAATTAACCTTGAGCTTGGCCCAGCCCATGTGGGAATGGTAACCTCATGGAGCCTTTGGCATCATTGTTCCCCTTTACCATGCTCAGGCTCATACATCACTTCACCTCCTTTCTATCCCATCTTCCATCTACCCATTTTGCTTTTTCTATTCCATCCACTTGCTAATTTTATTTTTTACTTTCTTCCATTTTGTTTCTTTCACCACTATTGTCTATCAGCCTCTTTTTTCTCTTTTCTCCCATTCGAGGCCTTAAGCCTGTCAGTGACACATCCTGAAAGCTATTGCTTAGCTTTAAAAACCATGTTGAGAGTTTCTCTGGCAGGCCTCATCTACATGATTTATACCTATGCCTCAGAAAGTTCTTGGGGAGACTAAAAATTACACGTAAAGGGCTACCAGACAATCATATCTGGATGCATTGTAAACACTTGATAAATTTGCCAATTACATTGGGCTCTTATCTTCTATTGACTTCTCTCTTTTTTAGTATCCAGTTAAACCCACTCTGGCCTTCAAGACCCAGCAGAAGTTTCTCCTTCACAACATTACTCCAGAGTCCCTCTGGAGGTCTCAGTGTCCTCTGAAATTATAGCACTGTCTATACATACCCCTGGCTAGTCGTATGCTGCCTTATGGAATCTGTTACATTGTCAGTTTCCATTTTTGTTTATTTTTGCCCTGTTTTCTCTGCTACACATACATAAAACACATTTGAATGTCCATGATGAGCAGCACTGTATGCTATACTCTGTGGGACAGCTGACCTCAAAGAGCTCATGACCGTGGGATCATTTCTGATTATGTTCATATTTGCTTGGTGCTTTCTAATGGCTTTCCTGTGCATCTTTGCCTCACTTCTTTTCCCATGTTTGTGTCTCCTAACTCTACTAGGTGGGCAGAGAAATATTCAATCTCCCCATTTTATAGAGGATCAGGCTGATCTTCAGAGAAGTGAAAGAAGTTGTTCTAGATTCCATGACAACCCAAATGTAGTGACAATGATGATGATGATGACAATATTGACACATTACCGGCAGGGATACACTTATTCATTCCCTGCTGTTTTTGTGGATTCTTTTAACCAATGAATTTCCTGGGGGAAGGCTTTGAAAACTTCTTCTCTCTTTCCAGTTAGCCACCAGCCAGTGTGTTGATTCAAGTTTCTCATTACCACCCTGATATGACAGTAAAAACTCCCGCAGGAAGATCTGCCAATGATTCCAGCCAAAATTGAACAGTAGCTATTTGAAAATCCAATTCCAATGCTGATTTTAACCATAAAACAACTACAACATCATGGACCAATTCACAGGTAGAAACAAGAAGGCTGAAGAAAGAGAGTGGACAGCAGGAAACACAGCAGGAGACAGTTAGGATGCAAAATATTTGTATCTGGTGCTTTTGGCCATCCCTTTTAAAGCTCATATTGACAGTTTCCTCTATCTCAGTGTTCAGAGCTTTGTACTCTTCTAATGTAAGACATTTAAACCTTTGTTCCAATTTAGGTCAAAATCACTCAAGCAGAACCCTGAGTTAATGTGTAAATTTTTCCCTAGGGTGTCCTTCATTTTGGAATGAAAAGCTTAGTCCCTTCTTAAGAGAATTTCAGGCATTAGTGAGCAGGCTTTAGAATCTTGGGAGGTGGGGGTTAGCAAGAAGAACTTTCCAAGTATTATTCCAAGAAAATATCATGCATATGAGTAGAGTATACTCTCTTTTGTCTTTTTTGAGTTTTGATGTTTCTAATATTCTCTATTATTCAACTATCTGTCTGTTAGTCTGTTATTTGTAAAGGGAGAGAATGGAACTTTGTTCTTGTAGGTCTCTTTCAGCCCTTACGTTATAAGACTCTAGGATTCCCCATTTGCTCTTATCTCCTCACCGTTCTTTCTAAACCCCCAACATCTTTGTTTATGTTATTATTATTTTTAAATTATTACTGATATGGTTTGGCTGTGTCCCCACCCAAATGTCATCTTAATTTGTAGCTCCCATAATTCCCACATGTTGTGGGAGGGACCTGGTGAGAGGTAATTGAATCATGGGGGCGGTTTCCCCCATACTATTCTTATGATAGTGAATAAGTCTCATGAGATCTGATGGTTTTATAGGAGGTTTCCTCTCTTACTAGATTCTCATTCTCTCTGGTCTGCCACCATGTAAGATGTGCCTTTTGCCTTCCATCATGATTATGAGGCCTCCCAGTCATGTGGAACTGTGAGTCCATTAAACCATTTTTTCTTTATAAATTACCCAGTCTTGAGTATGTTTTTATCAGCAGCATGAAAATGGACTAATACAATTACATAGTGGAGTTAAAAAAATAAAAATAAAAATCTCTTTCCTTTTCTCCCTCCTTCCTTCTCACTTCCACTCCTTGCATCCATTGTTGACCGTGTTCTGAATCATCAGTCATAAGCAATATCTATTGATGTCCCCCCATACACACACCTCTGGAAAGGTATGGAAATAGTTTACTATCCACCCCTTCTACATTCCTCTTCCTAGTTTGTAAATCAATAAGGGGTTCGTCTTTAATTTGTCTATCGGTTGCCCTTGTAACTTTAAATAGTATGCTTAAGCTTCTATTCCTTGGTCCTTCAACTCTAATAAGACGAGAACTCTTGTTTTTGTTTTCAATTCCATTGGTAGAAAATTTTCTCTGCTGGAGTCATCTTGGTAACAGGCCAGGCCTAGTTTTTGTACCGTAGATCAGCACATCCAGGAAAACAACCTGTCACCAGATGGCCAATTAAAACTTTAGGGGTAAAGACACATTGGAAGCCAATATTATGGAAGGTTTAGTAAAGTTAAAACTGATAAACTCAGGGCAAAAAAAAACAACAACATGATAAACAGTAATTGGGAAAATCACTCACTTAAAAAAGAAACACTATCCAACAATTAGTCAAATTAGCACCTCTATTGATTCTTGGAAGAATTTCCTCCCATTTAACCTACTCAGATCAATTAGCTTGGCATCTGCCTCCAACTTCATATATCAATATAACTGTTTTCTCCCCAGCTAACTGCTACTTAGGAGACAATGGAGAGGTGGACCATTTTACAGGACAATAACATGGTTCCTGGAGAAATAACTCGGGAGACTGAAGAAATCAGATTTATTTCCAAAGAAAATGGTACATCCCTCCCATGGTGCTTAATACACCAGTGGTTAAACAATTAAGTTTATTTTTGGGTACAAAGTTAATTACTTTGAAAAGGCAGTGATGCTGCCATTGACAAATACTACCCTTAAAACCCTCAGAAATAACAAGGCAGTCACCCAGAACAGCTAAAATGGCAACATTTGACATTTGGTATTGCAGGAATTACGGTCTTCCTGCAAAGTTACCTGATCTTTCTCATCTTAATTGAACCTTATCAGGGCAGGCTTTAGAAGTTATCTGGAGGTGGAGTCTGAGAACCCCACGATTTTCCTTGTTAGGACCAGTGAATATTCCCCAAATGACTGTTCTCCTCGATTAGCTGTCAAGCACCTTTCTCTCAATTGTTAAATCCCTTGATTTTAAATTCTATTTAGGAACTAGGCTGGCCCCAAATGTCAAAGAACACCATCATAATGGCCAAAGAGTGAACTGAATCTTGGTTTGCTTTCTACAAAATTTAGATCCCTGTTGGAAGCAGTAAATTACAAACAATAGAAAAGTAATCGAGCACATGTGTTAGACAATGTAAGATTTATATGGCCATTAAAAATAACGCTCTGAAATAATATTTAATGATAATGAAAATGCTGGCAATAATATTTAGTTGGAAAAGGGCAGGATACAAAACTACCCTGGGAATCTAATTTATTTAAAATAGGT